>NC_000006.12:11575151-11726666 GCF_000001405.40 Homo sapiens | reverse complement strand
AACTCCCTGGCTCAGTCCATTTTGTGTTGCTATAAAAGGATATCAGAGATTGAAAAGAGGTTTATTTAGTTCATATTCTGCAGGCTGAGAAGTTCAAGGGCATGGCCCTGGCTGCCGACAAGGGCCTTACTGCTGCCTCACAATGTGGTGGAGAAGATCAAAGGGGAAATGGACACGTGTGAAAAGGGCAAAACCTGAGGGGCACCCTAGATTTATAACAACCCATTCTCATAGAAAAAATCCATTTCTAGAGCTTACTATCACAAGAACAGCATCAAACCATTCTTAGGAGATCCAACCCCATGACCCGAACACCTCCCACTAGGCTCCCCCTCCCAACACCAACACACGCAGGACCAAATTTCAACATGAGTTTTGGTACGAACAAACAAACCATATTGAAACCATAGATAGCATTCCCCGCTGCCTCCTCCCGCAACCACATGGCAAGCACCATTCTACTTTCTCCCTCTATGAATCTGACATTCTAGGTTTCTCATATAAATGGAATTATACAGTATTTGTCCTTTTACGACTGGTTTATTTCACTTACCATGTCTTCAAAGTTGATCTGTGTGGTAGCATGTGTCAGAATGTTCTTCCTTCTTAATGCCTATGTATAAGCCACATTTTATTTATCCATTCATCTATCAGTGGGCACTTGGGGAGATTCCACCTTCAGGCTATTGTGAATAATGCTGCTATAAACATGGGTGTACAAATATCTCTTCAGATCCCTGTTTTCAATTCCTTTTTTTTTTTTTTTTGAGATAGAGTCTCATTCTCTCGCCCAGGCTGGAGTGCAGTGGCGCGATCTCCAATCACTGCAAGCTCTGCCTCCCAGGTTCATGCCATTCTCCTGCCCTCAGCCTCCCAAGTAGCTGGGACTACAGGCACCTGCCACCACGCCTGGCTAATTTTTTGTATATTTAGTAGAGATGGGGTTTCACCATGTTAGCCATGTTTTCAGTTCTTTTGGGTGTGTACCCAGAAGTGGAATTGCTGGATCAGATGGTAATTCTATTTTAATTTTGGGGAGAACCACCATATAGTTTTCCAAGGCAGATGTACCATCTTCCATTCCTACCAACAATGAACAAGGGTTCCAATTTCTCTATGTCCTTACTAACACTTGTTATCTTGTCTTTTTAAAAAAAATATAGTATCCATCCTAATGAGTGTAAGACAATATCTCACTGTCATTTTGATTTGCATTTCTTCTAGTTATTAGTGATGTTGAACATCCTTTCATGCATTTGTTGGCCTTTTATGTATCTTCTCTGTAAAAGGTCTATTCAAGTCCTTTGTCCATTTTTAATTGAGTTATTTGGGTTTTTTGTTATTGTTGAGTTACAGGAATATTTTACATATTTTGGATATTAACCCCTTATTAGAGATATGATTAGAAATATTGTTTCCCATTCCATGGATTGCCTTTTCACACTGTTTATTGTGTCCTTTGTTGCAGAGATGATCCCTTAAGTTTTACACCCTAGGGCCTCTCTTGCTTCACCCTACTCCCGGTCCTGAATATAGCCCTTGACTCTTCCACAAACCATTTAACAAACTTCAAGTATTTGAAATGACAGAGATCACCCTTGGGTTTCTGAAAGTTTAAGCACAGAATTTCATTCTTCCATCTGAATTCCTTTGACAACGTGGGATATTCAAATTTAAATATTGTTTTTGAAGCATAACCTGGCCTATCCTAATTGCTACAAGAGATCAGCAGCTTCAAAGAAGGCTTTCTGAGAGCACTCCCATTGTGCCATCCCTCAGTGGAGATGGAAGCTTTTGAACTCTTGTCAAATATTACAATGTGCCAAGCACTGTTCTGTGTCTTTTACATGTGTTAACTCCCGTAATCTTTACAACAGCCTTAGAAGGTGTATGCTGTTTGGATCTTCACTTTACACATTGAGGAGATGGGGACAGAAAGGTTGATGAAATTGCTGGAGGTAACATAGCTACTAGGTGGCAGAGCTGGGGTTTGAATCACAGAAGCCCAGTTCCAGATTCTGTGCTCCTAACCAATGATGAACTGTAGCTGATGCATCAGCTTCCCCACATTTAATTTTTTAAAGTTATTTCAGACTTTGGCACCTTCCAGTGCAGTTGGTTTCCAGCAAACTGCATTTTTAGGCTTCACTTAGACATCATGGCTCTTCTCCTAGCATTTCTTTTCCTTCTCTCGGCTTCCAGAAATGACTTACAGCCTATCCTCACATAAGCAAGATCTGAGCCTCCCTGCAAATCCATGCATTACTGCCTAACACTCTATTTATGGCTATATGCATGAGTGAAAATCAGGGCCGACAGTTAAATCCTAGGCATATTGTGTTAGGGCAATAACGCTCTATCTCTGCTCCCTCATCCCCGCAGACTTGGAGAGCTAAGGGAAAGCTGCACCTGATTCTTAGATCCAAAAAAGCAAACCCCACTTCTCTGGCTTAGAGCCAGCAAAATCAATGCCATAATAGCAGGTTCAATGTCTCAGCAGGCCATACCTCTCAGGGAAAGGGATCATTCATGTTCCCACATACTCTCTTTAGTTCTTTAGCTAACGATGGTTCTATGTTTGTTTGTTTGTTTGTTTGTTTGTTTTTGAGACAAAGTTTCACTCTTGTTGCCCAGGCTAGAGTGCAGTGGCGTGATCTTGGATCACTGCAACCTCTGCCTCCCAGGTTCAAGCGATTCTTCTTCCTCCGCCTCCCTAGTAGCTGGGATTACAGGCCTGAGCCACCATGCCCAGTTAATTTTTTGTATTTTTAGTGGAGATGGGGTTTCATCATGTTGGCCAGGCTGCTCTCGAACTCCTGACCTCAGGTGATCCACCCCCCTCAGCCTCCCAAAGTGCTGGGATTACAGGCATGAGCCACAGTGCCTGGCCCTATGTTCTCTTATATTTTTTCACCAATGTTGAATTTAAGTGGATTAGGTAAAACAGCCCAGCCCAGCCCATCAAACAGCATGTCTTATTGAATCAAGTTGATTTACCCAGAAAAGCCTCACTTCTTTAGGTTTGTGGGAATACTACAGCTGTTGACAAACGTCCCTGATGGGTTCTCTTCCCCTGCCTGGGTACCAGTACCTCATTAATCCTGATGAGAAAATGGCTTGTTTTTCTCCTCCTGCTATAACCACCACGACTTCTTATTTCCTGCAGCATCCTATGGCTCTACTTTGAGACGGGTACCTGGGTGTATCCTGTGTTTGCCAAACTCAGCCTCTTGGGTCTAGCAGCTTTCTTCTCTCTCAGCTACGTCTTCATCGCCAGCATCTACCTACTTGGAGAGAAGCTCAACCACTGGAAATGGGGTCAGTGTATTTCTTTCTTAGCTACAGATGCGCTTCTTCCGTGTCTGCCTCTCCCCTTCACCTGGAAACAGAAAGAAAAACTAGCCGCAAACAGAAGCAATGATGCTTACTGTCTTTGTCCAAAGTACTCAGACAGGTCCTGCCAAGAGGTCCTGCCAAGGCAAGAGGACAGCGTTGGGGGTGGGGCACTCTTTTAAAGGACCCCATCAAAGGATCTCCCCTCCTCCCCCAAACAATGTGTCATTTAACTTTAGAGCTAAAAATAATCTTCTTTAGAAAGCCCAGGACCTAGAGAACAAGGTATTACCATCCCTAGCATGAATAAATAAAATCAGGGGTCTCCCCCTAACCCAAGTGAGGGCTCCAGGGACACAAGCTTTGAAAATATCAAGGTTTCATTTTGAGGGAAGTGAGTCCAGATAGCCCTCTCAGCTCCTCCCACCTCCTCCCAACTCAGCAGTACCTCATTAGGCTGCTCCTCAGCCTTCCATAAGACATTTACCAGATGAAATCACATCCTAGACTTGAGATTGAAATCCTCATTCAGACAGAGTCTTCAGCAATGAGAATATGTCAGTAAGTTAAGCTTTCTCGTTATAGGTGGGTACAATCCTGTTGCTTCTTCCTAAGAAAAAAAAATCATCTTAACTTAGTTAATTTTAAAATGGAAGATTTCATTCTCCTTCCTGCTTCCTCTCTCCCCACCCCACCCCAGAATATTTTTTTATTGTTGGAAAAGTAACTACCAGAAAGTCAGGCTGTAAAACACCCATGACTTGCTTCCCTACCCCAGGAGAAGCGCAGGAACTCTACCCTGATTCTGTATATAAGGATGGCAAAGAGTCACACCCAGTCCCCCACATCACTCGCCCACATGCCATTCTGTTCTATCAAAATAGAGATGGCAGAAGTGCCATCTTCCGCCCAATCTATGAACTGGTGTGAAAACATAAGCCCGTGTATGCAAAAAAAACCTGACAGTTTCAGAAGGTTCAGTACCAGAGTGTGCGTTTCTGAGAGGAAGCTGAGACCCTGGAGAAATAAGCACGCAACTTGGATGTATCACATGTTTTCTACTCTTGGAGAATTTGACTGGTTTAAGAAACTCTCAAGGGCAAAATTCTCTTTGAAAGCAAACACTTAAAAAAATGGAATACTAAAAATTACTTCCCAATCAGGATTCCAAATCACAGAAAATTATCGCAAAAAAAAAAATGTGTTGACATTTCAGATGTGTTGACATATAATTCTAACTAGTTTTGGCTCCTTGAAGTTCTGGGTAAAGATTTCTGATGCCTCCCCAAATCTCTCTCTCTCTATATATATTTAAAGAAGCTTTAAGATATAGGAAGTACAGAGAAAAACTTGATTACTTAGAGCTTAGAGAACAATAACTTTTAAAATCAATTGTATTGAGTTCAATAATGTATTGAGTTAATTTTTAAATTGTTACTCTATGGTGAATTTTAAACATCCATTGAATTAAAAAACAAAATTATCATCATATTTATTATTATTGAAATTACTATTCTCAATACAACGTTCTTAACAAGCCTCATTGTTTAAGTACTGCATCCAATTTTTAACTATAATTAGGTCTCAATAAACAGATAAGCTGGCATCATATGGACCCTCAACTACCTCATGTACATGCAAGTTTTCAAGTAGAAAGAGACGATTGTAAATGACTGTACTTACCTCTCGAGGTCTTTCTAGATTTTTAACTTTTTAAAGAAGAGAAAGGGTAAAAGGTCCTATTTAACATCAGAATAAGATCAGAAATGTATTAAATCTTGAACAGATCTTTATTAATTATAAATAATTTAATACGAATTAAAGAAAAATTAGATTTGTTAAAGTTGCAATGCAGTGAACACTTTTACATTGCTGAAAGCTAAATAACCTATGTGAACACATTTCCCCATGTCCTATTCTACTGAAAACACTTTCTAAGGCTTCCCCCAATTGACTGAAGAAAGTCCACACCCTTGGAATGACACACAAGGGCCTCTGTGACCCAGTCCCTGCTTTGGCTTTTGCTCTTCTATATGTGTGCCCCAGTGGCACCAAACTGCTGGTTTTCCCTCCACGTTGATGTTGTTTCTTACGTCCACGGGATTCTGTGTCTCCTCCAGTCTTTGCCTGGTTCATACTCATGCATTTCAACACTCGCCTCTTCCAGGAAGCCTTCCCTGGTCAGCCCAGGTTGGACTTCATGCCCTTCCCAGTGCTTCCCCCTTTACCTCCCAGTCACCAGACTTACCATTTTATCATGACTGCGGTTTTACTACTGCTTTAGGGATTTGTTTTTCCACTAGACCTCGGGTGTCTTACGAATTAGGGGTATGTCTTGTTCATCTCAAGATCCACTATTTCCATTAGCTTTCTCGTTGCCTCAATCAGTGCAGACAATAGAATATCCAAGGGCCTTTTTTCCTAGGTGTAAAGTACAACTTTTTGCAAAGGTGTTCTGGAGACAGCAGATAAGGAGTGACTCTAATGGCTGTAGAGTATTGGGCAGGGAGTTTAAGGAGTATAGGAGGGTGATGACAAGGCGTACCAGTTAGAGAGTTGTTGAAGACATGCATGTTAGGGCAGAAAGTATTAAACAGGGGAAAGAGCACTGGAATAGGAATCAAGAAAGCCACGGTAGATCGAGACCATCCTGGCTAACACAGTGAAACCCCGTCTCTACTAAAAATACAAAAAATTAGCCGGGTGTGGTGGCGGGCGCCTGTAGTCCCAGCTACGCGGGAGGCTGAGGCAGGAGAATGGCATGAAACCAGGAGGCGGAGCTTGCAGTGAGCCGAGATCGCGCCACTGCACTCCAGCCTGGGTGACTGAGCAAGACTCCATCTCAAAAAAAAAGAAAAGGGTATATCCCTCACCTGGCCGCAAACCAACCATGTATTCTGTGGCAATGCACTTCAATTCCTCAGTGATCAGACAGCCTCTAAGTAGAGTGACCACCAAGCCCAGGTGGCCTGAGATGATCCCTGTCTATTCCTGCTGTGCCAGTATTCATAAGGTTTAATATTGTCTAGGCTTGGGCACTCAGTTGACTGGTTCCCCTACTAGTGAGCCTTTCTCCAGATCTTCAGTTCTGGAAACTTATAGATAGCCACGTATTCTGTCCAAAGCCAGAGCTAAGCCTATGTTTTCCCTCCTTCCACAGCCTGAGCCCCCTTTGATGACAGGAGAAATTCAAATGAATGCTTTAGGGAGGCAGTCGGGGGCTGTGGTTAGAAGAAAAGTTCTGGTGCCAAACTGCCTCAGTCTCTATCTTGGCCCTGCCACTTGTACCTGTGACACTGAGTGAGACACTGAAGGTCTCTGTGCCCCAGCTTTCTCTTGTCCTAGTGGAGATAATGCTAGTGGCCTCCTCCTGGGCTCACGGAGAACCTCAGATGACTTGCTGAGGATCTAGCGCCTACAGCAGGACCTGGCATACAGTTAGTCACTGCTGCTGGTCATCTTATTCTCCCTCATTCTCCCCTTTGAGTTGATGTATAAATTACCAGTTTCCCAGCTGCAAGTGATTAAAGGTAACAGCTACCCGATAGCAGACGGACAGAGATGATGCACGTCCTCAGGTACTTACAGCAAATAGGAGGTCAGGCTATTGGAGGCTAGAATCTGTTGGAATCTCTGCTTCTGAAATCCTGAGACACAACTGGAATCTCTGCTTCCAGTGGCCCAATTTGAAGTCACCAGCCAAGCACCAAGCGGTCAAGAACATCAGGCGAAGTATCAGTCAAGACCCATTCAATGTGACAGTAGCTCTCTAGCAGTAGTTCTCCACCTTGGCTTTTTACATCACAGAAACACTAGGGAAGTTTAAAAAATAATAATTCCCAGGCCTGCCTTAGACCAATTAGATCCATATCTCTAGAGATGGTGACTCGACATGGGTATTTTTTAAAGCTTCCCAGTTATTTTAACTTGCAATCGGGATCCGGAACCGCTGTTACAGAGCAACGCTTCTCAAACCTGTATAGGCCTCTGATGCTCATCAAAATGAGGATCTTGGGGAACCCGGAGATCTTGTTAAAGTGTGGATTCTGATTTAGTGGATCTGGGGTGCAGTTTGAGATTCTGCCCTTCTAACGCATACTCCAGACATACTGATGCTGCTGGTCTGAGGACAAGGCTCTATTACATCTCAGGACCCTGGACTCCTCCCAATGTGGATAATTCTGTCTACGGCATCCTTGTGCAGTGTGGTGCTCTCCTGAGTGGGCTGCTGGACTGAGAAGGGTGTTGGTGGTGATGGTCACAATAGCTGAACATCTACTCACTTTCTCCCTCCTCCTGTGCCACATCAGTGGGTGAATATGGAC
The DNA here is from genome assembly GCF_000001405.40 of Homo sapiens. Classification (NCBI taxonomy): domain Eukaryota; kingdom Metazoa; phylum Chordata; class Mammalia; order Primates; family Hominidae; genus Homo; species Homo sapiens. Next base: position 11,719,008 of record NC_000006.12, on the reverse strand, counting down.
AAGAGAGCAAGAAGGACAGCAATAAGAAACCATACTGGGAATCACATGTTAAATTGGAAAGTGTATGATGAGGTCCTCCCAGGGCACTCAGTTGCAGGGAACTGGCTTTGAGCGTCAAGGAGGCAAGTGTTGTCATGGCCCACAGGAAGGTCCTTCAAGAATGCACTGAGGCTCAAAAAGCTCACAAGAGGTTCCTCAGGGCCACCTGGCCTGACCTGTCACCATCTCACTCCCTGCCCTGGGCTAGCCTTTCTGTGTCATGAGGCAGAGGGTTGGGCAAGCACAGAGTCAGTTACTGGGACCAGTCATCCCCCAAGAAAGATTCAATTTCTACTTTTTGGGAGGAGTTAGATGGAATGTTAACTTCAAACCATGATAGAAGCAGATGGGGGAAGCTGTCTCTGGCAAGACATTGAGAGCTTGGCTCACCATGACCATGACTGAACACCCAGGCATGCCCAGGGCAGGTTCTCTTCCACATTGACTGGGGGCAAGAGGCAATCAGGACATCCTATCAAAGGCTCCCTTCTCTGCCCCTTATGTGCTTAATTTTCTTTTTTTTCTTTGATGATTGATAGCACACAAGGATGCTGACACCAGCACACAAGCTCCTCAGGAAGAGAAAATCATCCCACAAGAGATATGGGGCACAGAAAGGGGCTAAACACCTCCAGGCCCAAATGGCAGGGCCTCTGCTATGTGGGGGTGGTTGGAGAGACAGTCAGCTTATCCAGGGCCTGTGACCCCTCTCCCTATGCCCCTTGATGGACACATGCCAGGAGTCAGGCTGTCCTTTGTCAGGGCCCCTAAGACCATAGGTCCTTCTCATCCTAAGGACAGACTGTAAGCTGAAAATTCCAGCCTGGCCAAGTGGCGCTGGGAGTGTGTCCTGGACAGAATGACATGGAAACTTTCTTTTAATATTATTTGCCATAAACCAGGTTTTTTAAAAGGCAGATTTTCTTGATGAAAGCTGCCTAGAGGCCATCTAATCCACCTCCTTGTTTTATTCATGAAGGAATTAGATGAGGTTTGTCTTATTAACTCTGCTTATTCCATAGCAAAAGAATTTTATCATGCGATGACTCCACAGGTACTTCTAAAGCATGGTCCCACTGGGGCAGCATTTAGTCAATGGCAAAAATTTATCTCCATTTTGCCTTTCTTGTCCTAACTTCATCTCCCTAAACTCAAAAAGAGCCCGCTGTGGATTACCCTCCCTGCCTCTTCCTCAGCCTCTTTCCCACAGGAGTTTCTCCAGCCAGCCCTCAGTTCCCTGTCCTCCCTGGACTTCTGCAGTGTGAACACAGGACTATCAGTGCTCAGATCTCATTTCTCTAACACCTGCTATCCCCCCAACCATCAATTTTCTTGCCCTTTTCTGAGTCAGCCCACTGAAACTAGGCAAATGTTCTTCAAATTTTCAATGCCTGGCATTCATTTTTGTGGTTGTAGATACATAGGTGTAAATCTTTGAGAATACTATGTTTTTATTTATCCTGATTTCTAACTATTGGAATAATAAGGCATATAATTATATATGGTATCTATGGTGATGTTGATTGAAACAATAATTTCTTGGCCATGCCTGCAGTTTCTGTTCAGATCTTGCAAAGATGGAGGCTAGAATCTGTTGGAATCTGCTTCCAGTGGCCCGATTGGAAGTCACCAGCCAAGCACCAACTGGTCAAGAATATCAGGTGAAATATCAGGGCTATAAAAATATTTCTAGCCCTTGCTACTATCTGACAGCAGTTAAAGGAATAAAACAAGTCGGGGTGAATCTAACTTCCTATCTGCCAACTAGGATACTTTCTACTGGGAAAAATGCTTCTCAATCAAGAAAATATTTATAATAAACATAATTTTCCAATTACAACTTAAAATCCATTTTGTGAATTTGGTTTGGGTAAGATATATGATCTATTATTAAGTCAACAGTTTCCTTATTTCCAGCTATGCGTTATAGAAACATGGTCAGAAGGCTGGGTGCGGTGGCTCACACCTGTAATCCCAGCACTTTGGGAGGCCGAGGCGGGTGGATCACTTGAGCTCAGGAGTTCAAGAGAAGCCTGGCCTACATGGTGAAACCCCATCTCTACTAAAAATACAAAAAAAAAAAAAAAAAGCTACGTGTGGTGGCGCACACCTGTAGTCCCAGCTACTCGGGAGGCTGAGAGGTGGGAGAAACACTTGAATCTGGGAGGCAGAGGTTGCAGTGAGCCAAGATCACACCACTGCCTTCCAGCCTGGGTGACAGAGGAAGACCCTGTCTCAAAAAAAAAAAAAGAAAAAGAAAAAGAAAAAAAGCATGGTCAGAGATAAATTTTGAAGACTTAAAGAAGCCTACAAACTGCTTAGCTCTGTGAGAATTCAAGACTAAGACCCGCTTGCCATTCCCAGCTGCTAGAAGCAAAAAGAAACATGATTTTTGCAACGTTCACGCCACATGAGTCCCTACAGAATAAAATGACTTTGGGAGCACCACAGAGACCCATTTGGGAACAGTGCCTTCTCTAGCATGTGGATGGGTATGTGGGCATTTCTGAGTGTTCCTCCTAGCTACTTGGTTTTGGACAGAGGACTCTAATCCAATGGAGGGAACCACCTGCTGTCCTCCCCCAGCAGAGCTTCATACCACCATGTCTGCTCCTGGGTGGCTTTTCTCCAAACCTTCGTGTTCTGTTGCATTTCTTAAATGGAGAAGGGAGTCTTCAGTCCTCAACACCTGGGGTGGAAGGACTGAGGTTATTATTACAGTTAGGCTTGAGGGCTTGGGGATTGGTAAACAACATGGATAAAAGAAAGTTTTAGGAATCCTCAGAGTGACTGCGGGGTAGAAATTTGAGAAGTTTATATTGACCAAGTTTATATTGTCCCTCTTGTATGTGAGCTGGTTATTTAATTGAAAAAGAATTCATTAAAGGCCCAGAGTATACTCTACAGAAAAAGGAGGTACTGTGCTTGTACTTATAGACCTAATGTAGAGAAGCCCTAACTAGGGAGGAGAGAATTCACATCAAAAATGGAAAATAAGGCCAAGGGTGGTGGCTCTTGCCTGTAATCCTAGCACTTTGGGAGGCTGAGATGGGAGGATCCCTTGTGGTGAGGCCAGGAGTTCAAGATCATCCTGAGCAACATAGTGAGACCCTGTATCTAATAAAAAAGCAAAAAAAAAAAAAAAAAAAAAAAAAAAAAAAAAGCTGGGCATGGTGGTGTGCACCTCTAGTGCCAACTAGTCAGGAGACTGAGGTTGGAGGACTTCAGCCCAGGAGCTCAAGGCCGCAGTGAGCTGAGATTGTGCCACCGTATTCCAGCCTGGGCAAAGACCTTGTCTCAAAAAAAAAAAAAAAAAAAAAAGGGAAAAACAGAAGAGAAAGAAGTAGACACACCAATGAAAACAACGTGAAATCCATAAAGCTTGATAAACAATAAGCCTCGGCTGAAGTGACTGGGGTAGTCTAGATTGATGAGGAGCAGACGAAGAAGACAGAGTTTTGATCTTGAAAATTTTGCATGAGATGAATACAAGGATAGCCATGAGGACTGCATGATCAAGAGGTGGCCATCCTAGGAAATCAGTGTAATTAAGGGGCCACAAACAGGACTTCAAGTCACCAGTCATGATAGCCTCTAAGAAGTGGAGTTCCAGCAGAATGGAATGAGTATAAGATATCTAGTGTTTACTGTTAAGGATAGAATTGATGAAGGTGGCAGGGTTTGAAGGGTGAATCATGGAATTAGGAGCATGGATTTGCTGCAGGAATACCAAGCCAGAACTACCAGGGCTGTAAGTTCTGGAATGGAGGAGAAGTTTTTAAAGTAGCATTGACAGTATTTGGCAACAAGCACAAAGGATAATGAGCTAATGAAATTTCACAAATTGCAGAGCTTACACAAAGATTTATGATCATTAAATATGGAGTACCAACTTGTTGGCTGAATAGAAGTCATTCTACAAATCTAATGCTATAATTTCAGTAGAATAATGCCCCTCTAATGAGCTTACTCAAACCTAATCCATATGCCAGTACTTTTCCACCAGGCTGATGAATTCATTTGCTAAGAGGTCACAGAATGACCCCAATTAGTTGAACATCCACCCTTCTATTTCCTCTCTAATTTGATGTGGTCTCTTCATCTCCATCTGCAAAGTCTCAAAGTTTGCTGATGGATTGTGTGTAGCCTGCAGACACTCACTCAGAGTCACAGCAATATGCTTCCTCTTAGCTATGCAGAGTACCTGAAGGCAAACAGCATCGTGGGTGCCTGGCTAACTGTGAACCCAGCACTGAGGGAGGACGGCAGAGTTGTTCTCTGCCCCTGTCATCGTGGCAGCTGTTTTTTCATAACTCCTTAAACTGCATCTTGTCACCTTGGGAAAAGTGTGTTCAACTTTCCACTGCCCCAAGTCAGAGTGAATCTCTACCCACAACAAAAATACCCATTAGGGAAAGCCTGAAGCCTGAGGTCTGTCTCTGTTCTTGTTTGTACAGGTGACATGAGGCAGCCACGGAAGAAGAGGAAGTAATTGCACACCATTTTCCAAGAACCAAGAAAGAAGAAAACACAAGAGATTTTTCTCATCTTTTTTTTTTTTTTCTGGTGGAGGGAGGTGGTGGAGGAACATAGCAAAGTAGGAGGGACAGAGAGTGATACTTAAATTTAATAAGAGGTTCGTGAAGGTAGCTTAACTTGAGAACTCTTGGTTTTTTGAAAGGTTGACTGCACATGCCAAAAACAACTCCTGCTATCTCAGAATTAATTATCTTTGACCTTCGTGGAGGATGGTCTCTGGTTAAAATCTGGCCAAAGAAACTCACATAAACTTGGTGTTAGAGAACATCTAGAGAGAGAGAGAGGAACTTAGAGTCATTTAAACTCTTCAGTTTACAGAGAAGGATGCTGAGGACCTAGATGAGAAGTTACCTGCAAAAGGCAAAAGGGTTACTTAGTGTCAGAACCAAGGCAATGACTTCTCTCTCCCAGATCTCCTAGCTACTGGTCCTGGGCCATTTTTTTTTTTTTAAATAATCCCAACTTTCTTTAAAAGACAAGCATTTCAGTAAGCTAGTTATTTTCATGGGTTGCTCATCCATTTTTTTCAGTGATCTAAAAATGTAGGGAGATGGCTACTACTGAAGTTGTCTGTCTACTTGGGATAATAGCAAATTAATTGAAGACAATGGGAAAGTAAGTTATAAAAAATACTGGGAAATCTGTTTCTCTTCTGAGCAAGCATTCAGGGCAGGTATAAACATCAAACATAGTGACATTGTCAAAACCTCTTCCATTTGAACATTGATTAATTCATCAAATAAATGGTATAGTAATAAATTTTGCTTGCAGAAGAATCTGGATGGGAAGTGATAGAATTATAAGGGCTGTTGAGATTGCTTTGCTACAAAGCACTTTTCTGAATTAGTGTGTGGTTTAACAAAGCTGATTTCCAGATGCTTAACAAGGATTCATGATCCCTGCTGTGATTTTCCTAGTGTTATTTTCCTGGCCTTTATTTGTGGGCACATTTTTTAAAGAACACAAATGGCAAATGGCTATTGGTGGGTAGACATATTTGAGTCTACTAGTATGTCACTAGGCTCATATGGGTTGGGGTGTGGACACTGAAGGAAATTGGACTTGGACTTCCCAACCTAACATTATGTAGGAGAAATCTGGTAAAAATGAGCAAGAGTGGTCTTGAAGGGTTACAGAAGAGGACAGAATATCTCAGGTGGGAAGGCAGCCTAAGGGAAGACCAGGGCAGGCACCAAGAAACCTGCTTAATTCCCACTTCTTTTTCTACTGTTCTGTTAATATGGGCCTCAAGTCTTTTCCAGTTGGAGCTGGGAATACCACCTCTTTCCCCACATCTACTGCTGCCTCTTCACTGCTCCAAGCACCTGGTCTCAGCAGGAGCTCAGAAACAGTTGCCACAGTGGAAATTCCCCAAACGTGAAGCCCTCGGGGGATCACCCAAATGTTCCACACCCCAGAGGTGACTCGGGCTGCGTAACTCTCAGTCACAGTAAGCTCTTGGTGGGGATGAGCCTGCAAATTTCTATTTGTGGCTTTACTGGCCCTAGGACCAAATTAAACCTTGATTGCAGCATGCCTGGCCATTGTGCAATATCTCTTCCAACACTAGAAATGTCTCGGAACAATTTCCCATTGAGCACATGCCTAAGCACACAAGGGCATGCTCGGTGCTGCAGTAGCTTAAGAAAAGATACACAACAAAACAATAACACACTGATTAAACATTTGCTAAAAGGTATATGGTATTTGCAGATTGCATAGCACTATGTTAGGCCCTTAATAGAAAATGACAACTATAGCAACCACATGATGATACCAGCAATATTTGTGTAGTGTCAAGTAATTCATCACCACTCCCACTTATTCTAGCCCACGGAAACTTCGTAAGTAGGAGATGAGTTACGTTCTCATTTTACAAATGAGCAAACTGAGTTTCTGAGGGTGGTGTGCTGGGAAAGGTTTAACAACCAGCTCTCTGGGGAAAAGATGTCAGGCTCTGATTGATAATGTGTGCTCATTTCCATGGTGTAAACACTCTCCCCATGGCCTTTTTCAAGCTGGCAGCACGTTGCTGAATGTACAGTTGGGAAGAGATGTGGACAACCACTTAGTCCTCGAGAGCCTGTTGTGCAAACTGGCTCCAGCACACCTCTGCGTTCAGAGCAGGGAAATGACAAGTCCAAGGTCACATGGATAGTTGACTCCTGAGCCCACTTTCCTTCCTCTTTCTTACAGAGCAAAGCAGTACCGGGTCATCCAAAAACTTTATTTAAAAAACAAAACAGAAATGTGTCCACATCTTGCAGAGCTGGACAAAAGAAGGTGGTCAAGAGATCCCAAATTGGTGGAAACTGTCCCCGTTACAGGAGGAGGAAGGACGCTGCCACCACTACCCCAGGGACTGGCCTATACTCATGCTTCTGTTCCAGTGTTGCTGTCTCACATTTGAAACCAATTTTGAATTTGGGTAGAAGATTCGTCTTGTTGCCTAAACAATGCCTTAACCCCATTCTCTCCCCAGAAGGGTCCTACATTTCTTAAGCTATTTTCAGCTCCTCCACACCTACTCACTTGCAATACTTGTCATAACAGGAAGCCAGTTTCATATACTGTAATCCCCAAACACATTGCACCCACACGTGGGGAGCGTGAGGGGCTGAGCGAGGAGCGAGGAGGCCAGGCCTTCCAAAAACTGGAGGGGCTGAGCACTGAGCCGCTCCCAAGGTGGGGCGTCTCCACTCCCAAGCCCAGGATTCAGAAGCCAGAATCCACATCCAGACATTCTTGTTTTCCTTTCTCATGCAGTTGCTGGTGACTTTTTTTTTTTTAATAAAGCATTTGAGTAGGCAGCAAAGCCAGTCAGAACTGTTTATTTATAGCTGTGGATATTCAATGCTGTATAAATTAGAAATCGTTGCTGAATGAGGCCCGCGCCCACTCATACACGCAGGGCCGCTATCTGTGAGTCCTTTCACAGGGTTTGACTGTACACGGTCTAAAATGGGAGAAAATGACATGCTCCGAGTCAAATGACGGAGTCACAGCTAAACGGCAAAGCAGAAAACCAGCAATTATTTTTCCCCAGCACAATATGGGGAGTACGACAGGTGCAATTATCCAATATTATTTAACAGTACCGGTTTGTGATGTAGGGAGAAAATAAAGGTTTCCGTGTCTTGGAGAGGAAAAAAAGAGAAAGAACATGCCTTGCAGCTCCTGTTTCTATGGATTAAGCTGGGTTATGTACATGGAAACTGGCCAGGATTCCAGAAGGGGAAGGGAGAACCGCCTGGCTCCCTGGCCCTTCCTCCCAGGAGGCTCTTGAGGAGCAGCACCACAGGGGGCTTCTGAGCAAAGGTGCCCCCAGCCTTGGGATACTGTGGCCTGAACACCCTCTTCCCCAGGCAATGGCTCCAGGTAAGACTGCGGGGAAGACTGGGTTTGCTGAGCCCCTGTCCGCTTAGAAACAAACTTCCCTCCTGCTTTTGACTCTCTTTCCCTCCATTGAACTACAATGAGGTCAAAGAGCGTGTGATGAGAAGGTGATCCACAAGGAATAACTTTCAGCCCCTTAACCAGGTCCCCTTTCCCACTTCCAGCACGTTATTATTCCTCCTCCCAAGCCTTTGCTTAAACTGGTCACACTCCCTAGAAAGACCCCTCTTCTTGTAGCTACTGTGGAATAAATAAGTCAACCTTCATGGCTTCCGACCTCACTGGAGTGCCACTTCCCAACTCTCTGAAAAAGCTTTTCCTTGCCCCTCCGGGGCATTTGGCCGGCTGCCTTCTCTCAGTTCTGCTAGTTAACAGCTAATCAGCTTCACACACTATGCCATTGCTCTCTCCTTCACGTATCCTCCTGGCTTCTGTTTCTGGAATGGTATGGAATGCCATGCCGACTAAAGAAAACAGTCAAGCTTTTAAAGAATTAAAGTTAGTTGTATTCAGAAGTCTTACTGAGGACTACAGACCAAGGCCTACAGCCTGGCAACAGCCTGTCAGATCCTATGAGACTGCTCCAGCCCAGGATTTCAGCCCACTGCTTACAGACAGGAAGTGGAGGTTCAGTACCTGCACAATCACATCAAATTTGCTCAGAATTTCCGTCGCAGCAGAATCCCATCAAGGCTTGGGTGTAAGAGCGCATCCGGTTGTAGATTACAGAGGCATAAACACTAACCCTGTTAAAGGTTTTGTCTTCAAAGCATCTTTCCAAACATCTTCACAGTCCAGGGCTTTTGTGAAATTCTGCTGGCAAGCAGAAGTGAGCAAAAGGTGCTTCTCATATTTGCTCCTTTGTCTCACAGCTGGAAAGAAGAGAGGCTTCAGAACCAGACCAGATCTGAGTTCAAATTCTGACTCCCATGGCTGGCTATCTGTATGGAACCTAGAGAAAATCAGTTACTTTTTAGAAAAATGTATTATTCACTTTTTATTTGTTTAAAAATATATAACAACTTCAGCATGTGAATAAGAGGACACAGTCTATCCAGAAGGAGCTTAAGTATGCTATGTAGGCCGCCAGAGGAACGCAAAAGAAGTAAGCATCCCCTGTTCCTTAAAGACCTTAGGCATGCCAGATTTTATTCCAACTTGCTACTGTCCTAAGAGAGGCACTAGTCAGCCCCTTGGAGAGAGACTCACCTTGGATAAAAATAGTTTACTCCTCTGAGCCTTGGTTCCTTGTCTGCAAAGTTAGATAATGATACCACCACAATTAAATAATAAGATTATTTAAAGTGGTGGATGCAAGTGCCTGGCTCCCAAGATCTCCGTCTGATATAGTTTGGGTGTTGTTTCCTCGAAATCTCGTGTTGAATCATGATACCCAGTGTTGGAGGTGGGGCCTGGTGGGAGGTGTTTGGATCATGGGAGTGGATTTCTCATGAATGATTTAATGCCATCTTCTTGGGGCTGGCCTCGCCATAGTGAGTTCTGGCGAGATCTGGTTGTCTAAAAGTGTGTGGCCCCTCCTCCTCCCATCTCTCTTGCTCCTGTTCTCACTATATAACGTGCCTGCTCCCCCTTCACCTTCTGCCGTGATTGTAAGCTTCCTGAGGCCTCCCCAGAAGCCCAGGAGATGCCAGCACCATTCTTCCTGTAAAGCCTGCAGAACTGTGAGCCAATCAAACCTCTTTTCTTTATAAATTACCCAGCTTCAGGTATTTCTTTATAGCAATGCAAGAATGGCCTAATTCACCATCCCACCTGCTTGATTGCAAACTCCCGGGATGAGGGGCCGTGTCTACCTCTTTATATCTCCAACAAAGCCTAACTCTGCACCATTAGAAAGTACTCAAAAATACAGGCGGACTTGAGGATTCCTTATAGCTTCTTAACCTTACAGGCATCATCACCAGTTATCTTCCACCCTAGGCTTCCCTGGAAGCTGATAGTCTCAACATTAGAGTTATTGTTTCATTTCAGATACTCTCTCCATCTTACATACCACAATTCTATTTACAGTGACGAGCAAATTGCAGTTTCATGTGGACTGGTAGTGAATGAACATTGATAGAATAGGACGCATAGCAGATACATTTGATGAAAAGGAGAAGGAGATGAGGAGTGGCCTGGAGGATAAATGGCTTGCGTGCAGGGAAGCTCTAGAGTGGATGACTAGATGGCCCTAATGACTCAAAGGAGAGCCTATGAGCTACTAGGGTCCCAGTCCGGAAGACTGATCCTTAAACAGGAGGTGGGGGGATGTTGAAGACAAACCTTGTTTACATCATAATTCATTTCACCTTAGGTGACTTCTCACCCCTTCCTGACGGATGGCAAGTGTTTATCATTAAGGCCCAGTCTAGTCTGACTAGCACATCATCGTTACCATGATGTCGTCAGCCTCTTGCATGGTGTAGTTATTTCGGGGCCATGAAAAGGGCCTCTGTTCTCACTGCCACCCTAAATATCTTGCTAATGTACAAAAAAATTCTTTCACCAATAAAGCCGCCCATTTCATATGGAGAGCCAGATTTAACATGTAAATACTTCTGAAAGAAGTGACCTATGAAACTCATGCATGTTCAATTCTCAGTGAAGGATATCTGATGATTTGAAAGCAAGTTTTAATGTGAGGGAGGGCGTGCTTGGCAGAGCGAAAATGAGGATATTGTTAGTAAAGGAACAGGTGCGGAAGGGTCAGCTGCAGACTCCAAGGACAAAACTTGCCTAGTTCATAATTTTTCACCGTGTGAGCTGCCAATAGATGCAGGTTATGATTGTTCTGCACCCCTCCCTGAGAGAGCTACTTGGTGGGTAGAGCACCCCAAAATGAAGTTGGCCCATGATTTTGGCAGCTGGTAGGTCAACTAAATTCTGCGTGCCCTTGGAGGGGTGGACAGAGGGGACAGAGCTGTGATGTGCCACTCTGTTTCCAGCCTTGATTATCTGGCTGGCACTACAGGAATTTAAACTTGCTTTATGTCTTTTATTTATTTATTTTTTGAGCCGGAGTCTCATTCTATCACCCAAGCTGGAGTGCAGTGGTGCAATCTCGGCTCACTGCAACCTCTGCCTCCCAGGTTCAAGCAATTCTCATGCTTCAGCCTCCCAAGAGGATGGAATTACAGGCATGTGCCATCATGCCCAGATAGTTTTTGTATTTTTAGTAGAGACGGGTTTTCACCATGTTGGCCAGGCTGGTCTTGAACTGCTGGCCTCAAGCAATCTGCTTGCCTCAGCCTCCCAAAGTGCTGAGATTACATGCGTGAGCCACCACGTCTGACCTGCTTTGTGTCTTGAGAGAGTAGTGTTGCGTTGCCACCATGCTTTTTTCCCACAATTTAAACGTGTGTTTGTTGGTAGCATAAATTAATCTTTCTTAGACTCTTAGGTTCTACATCCTCCAAATTTCAACATCATGGTTTTTGTTGTTGTTCAAATTACTATGATTGCTCATGAGTTTGTGTGTATGAGTGTGTGTGTGTGTGTGTGTGTGTGTGTTGTATTTCTGAAGTTCCGTGTAGATATTCAATGCCACTTTTTCATTTTCTCGAATTTATGTTGGAGAGTTGGTGCTACTCTCATCAGGGTCCTACGATGATTCTGGAAACAAAGACTGGATAACATGAATGGCTCCATGTAGAAGCTTTGGGTATTGATATTTCTCAAATTTCCCTCAAAATGCATGAGTATGACAGCTTTTCCTACCTATGAGTTGTTGCCATGCTTAAGAAGAAAGAAGACAGAGCAAAGAAAAAATTAGGATTCCTGGGCTCCTGAAGAACCTCAAGCAGTATTGAGATTCTCCAAGATCTCTTTTTATCCAGACATCTGTCTTACCAACCAGTCACAGAGATACTGAAGTGCTGAAGAGAGGTGGACACTTATTAAGGGCATATTTTGTGTTTCTTTGAGGACAGGAGTATGTCCTACTCACCACTGTATCTCCCTCATTGAGCACAGTGCGTACCATATGGTTGACTTTAAATGCATATGTGATGCTCAGATGGATTTAAGTAACACGCTCAGTGTCTGACAGTGGCATTGGAATTCAAATCAAGATCTATCTGACCCAAATGCCTCAAATAGTTTCCACTCCACCAACAGTGCTCAATCTTTCTTAAGTGATACCCTCAGAAATACATTTTACATCATAATCCAGTAGAAACACACACACTCATAACACACACACTTGTGTGAAAAGTTTCATAAACTCATACTTGCTTTTAATATGGGTGACATACCCCTTTATTTTCTAGGATATTGTTTCCTATTCCATTAAAATATGTCGTGACCATGAAATTGATGTCTTAATCCAATAATAGTGTTATTAAAAAATAATGAATTTCTTAATCCAATAAGAAATTAATGGATAGGGTTCAACTTAGTTCAGTAAGTTGGACAACACTGCACTCCACCACACTGTAGGGTTCGTTCATTCATTATACAGTGCCTACTAAATGTATGTCCCTGGCCATATGCATGCCATGGCCTGAGTGTAAGGACATGGTGGTCATCCACCTGGCATTTGCAGGCCTGTATGGAGGATTGCATGCTTTCATCTTGCCGCTCCTTTGGGACGCCAAGCCTGGCTTTCCCAGCTTCCTCTGTTAGCAGCTGCTCTGCTAGACTCAGCTCCTCTGAGATGCTAACAGGAAGAAGAAAAAGATCCCTTCCACCGTAAGAGCTTACAAAACCTTCCGCTGAGGCTTAAGTCTGGCCTGAGCAAATATATTTGGTTACACTTTAGGGATTTGTTTTCACTCAACACTAAATTTTATTAAGATTCTAATAATGAAGTTAGATGACATAGAGTTAGGAAAACATGTACTGTATGACTTTTACAATACCTTGCCAGGAATCTGGTACGTGATTCTGAAGACTCCCATCTAGACATGTTTTATTCCTTATTAAAATTTTTCTAGCTACATTCTAAAATGCACTTATGTTGTCATTTTATATATATACATTAACTGAACTTTGCCAATTTTTTTTTTTTTTTTTTGAGATGGAGTTTCACTCTTCTTGCCCAGGCTGGAGTGCAATGGCACAATCTCGGCTTACTGCAACCTCCGCCTCCTGGGTTCAAGTGATTCTCCTGCCTCAGCCTCCCGAGTCGCTGGGATTACAGGCGTGTGCCACCATGCCCAGCTAATTTTGTATTTTTAGTACAGATGGGGTTTCACCATGTTGGTCAGGCTGGTTTCGAGCTCCTGACCTCAGATGAATCCACCCACCCTGGCCTCCCAAAGTGCTGGGGTTACAGGCGTGAGGCACTGCACCCGGCAACTTTGCCAATTTTTAAAATCATGTGGTTAAATAAAATTCTCTTTCTTGCAAAATAGATTGCAGTATCACTGCCAGTATTTCTCCTTTTCCAGACTCATCCTGCCATCATGACCTTTTATTGCCGTCACATATCACCAAACTAAGAGGAAGAGGCCAAAAGAACTGCTGGACACCAATTCAGAGTTTTCCCACTCAGCAATGTGGATTTCCATGTAATCCTCAAATCAAGGGGAAGGAAAGAACCATTCCAAAATGCCCTGCCAATTCACAGAGGAACATATCTAAGTCCACTTGGGAACCATTTTAGACCCCAAGCATGGAAGACACGGATTATTTGCATGACTATATACACAATGACAAAGGGAAACTTACCCATTCATTCTAGGGCTTAACGAAAATGCCGCGGCTGCATGAATCGTGGTTCTGTGGTCGCTTATTGGGAATGGGATTGAAAGTATAACTTTAAGGGGGATCCCCAAGATGACAGCCAAGAAGATGCTAAGCTATTTGTGCATGAGGTGCTTGTGAGATAGAGATCAAAGGATAACCAGCTGCTCTTCCCTGGTTGGTGAGTGGAGGTGCCCGAGAGGGCACTCTTTGGTGTTGACTTATTGCATCTCACCTTGTCCCTTCCTAAACTCAACTCTTGCCATTTCACTGTATCCCTCACACAGTCACACTTGAAAGGCCCTCCAAGCACCAGTGGCCTTTGTTCCTAGCACAGAAATCATCGCCCTAGACTGCTTACCTAGCATCTAAATAATCCCAATTCACATTTAGCTAAAATTTCACTATTACTAAATTTAGTTATATTTGCAATATAAATTTATTTTAGTTACAATAACGTAGAAGTAGTATAGTTACTATTATTATCTGTTTTAGTTTCCTGGAGCTACTATAGCCAAGTATCACAAACCAGGTGGCTTAAAAATGATAGAAATGTGGCCGGGCATGGTGGCTCCTGCCTGTAATCCCAGCACTTTGGGAGGCTAAGGTGGGTGGCTCACGAGGTCAGGAGTTCGAGACCAGCCTGGACAACACAGTGAAACCCCTTGTACCGTCTCTACTAAAACTACAAAAATTAGCTGGGCATGGTGGCGGGCGCCTGTAATCCCAGCTACTCGGGAGGCTGAGGCAGGAGAATCGCTTGAACCTGGGCAGTAGGGATTGAAAATTGCAGTGAGCCAAGATCGTGCCACTAGACTCCAGCCTGGGTGACAGAACTAGACTGTGTCAATAAATAAATAAATAAATAAATAAATAAATAAAATAGAAATGTATCCTCTCACAGTTCTGCTAGCCAGCAGTCTGAAATCAAGGTGTCAGGATTACTATGCTTCCTCTGAAGCCTCTGAGGAAGAATCTTTCATCCTGGTGGCTCCCACTAATCCTTGGTTTGTGGCCACATCACTCCAATATCTGCCTGTTTCCACATGGCATTCTTCCCTGTGTGTCTCTGCACCTCTTACCTTACAGAGAATCTGGAATCTGTATTCAAATCTCCCTGTCCTTTCTCTTATAAGGATGCTAGTCACAGATTTAGAGTCTACTGTAAGTCTAGTATCATTTATTTCAGGATCCTAAACTAATCACATCTGTAAAGACCATATTTCCAAATACGGTCACATTCGGAGGTTTTAGGTGGACGTGCGTATTGGGGGTGAAAGGGGTGAGACCATATTCAACCCAATACATTATTCCTATTTGACAAATGAGGGGATTGAGATGTTAAATTCCAGCTTTTAACACTTCTCACGTGTCTTTCCTGGTTCAAGGAGTCACCCGTAATTTATACCATCTGTTGAGTGCCCACTACAGGACAGGCATTTGCAATTCATTATCTCTAGGCCTCACCATGCTCAGAGAGACAGGCATCATTCTCTCAATATTAAGGAAAAAGAAACTGAAGCTCAGTAAGGTTGACAGATTTTTCCAACAAAGAATTACCCAGTGACAGCACAGAGCTCATTCTGGCTGGCTCTGACACCTACCCCCTTTCCATTAAACCACACAACTTCTACCAAATCCTGCTTCTGTTCCCTTCACAATGTCTGGAACATCAGCCCTTCCTTCTGTCTCCTCAAGGTCAAAACATTAAATATTTTCATTTCAAATCTTCTGAGGCACTGTGGGAAGGATGCAGGCTCAGGGGCATGGGTGTTATGGTGGAAACACCCTCTTTCCTGAGCCCGAGCCTTAACAGGCATGCAAGTGGGTAAATGGACAGAAGGGGACCTCAAAGGGAAAGGGGAAATACAAATTGCTGCTAAGAGTATATGGCAGAGCCATTCAGCCTCGCCTGCAGATTCGGAGTCGCCTGGGGACCTTCTAAAAGTACTTTTGCCCAGATGTCTCCTCCAGAGCTTCTGAATTGGTCTGGGCTGCAGATTGGGCATTGGGAATCTTAAAAGCACTTCCAGGTCATTCCCATGTGCAGCCAAGGTTGAAGGCTGCCTGGATCCCTGACGTATGGGAATTCTTGTCCATTTTCCTTGCCTATGGCAGCAGCTGAGGTCTTCAGGTTGTTTTGAACATCATCTGAGAGAGCCACTGCCTTTGTTCCAAGCTTCCTTGCAAAGCCACTGCCCAGCCATGCAAGTGCTCAGCACATTTTATGGCATGACCAACTGCCTGGTCCCTTTGGGTGCAATAGCAGAGGTGACTTTGGGGTGGAGTGTGGAGCCAGGCTCTGGGAACGGCTCAGATGCCCCTGCAAAGCTTTCTGGTGGAGCTGTCTCCTGTCTCCCTGGGACCTCAGTGCACTTCCTTAGCAAGAGCCCAGACTACTGGAGCCAGGGAGGCACCTTGTGGGAATTGTGCCAACAAATGACCTTTGGACTTGAACTGTGGCCTGGCTCTCTCCTGGGTCTCCAGCCTGCTGGCCTGCCCTGATAATTTGGGACTTGCCAGCCTCCATCATCACGGGAACCAAGCCCTTAAAATAAATCTCTTTCTAGGTACATACACATCCCATTGATCCAGCTTCTCTGGAGATCCCTGACTGCTACACTCTTCCTTGGCTCCCCTGGCCTCACCTCCTTTCTCTGGATCCTCCCACCCTCCACTCTCTGCGTCGTTTGCCTGCAGTGTCTGTGACTCATAGGCCTATAATAATCCTTCCGCTTCTGCTTGCCAAACTCTCCTCTTTTCATTCAAGAGTCTCCCCAAATCCCACATCATCCCATCAAGGAAACAACAGTCTCTCCTCCCTAGGATGAAGCCATTCATGGAGCAGATTTCAGAAAGAAAACTCTGTCTGTATGAGTGTTTCTTTGAAAATTCATGTTGGAGACTATTCCACGCATGACAGTGAGGGGACTTGGTGTTCCACAGGCTCTGTCTCAGAGGCCAGGCTACAGGGCTCCCCGTCTGCTCTGCACAGGTCTGCATTTGGCACATGGTCTCATATGGCTAGTGGTGCCTACCAGATGGTGGTCTGGGGCGTGGCCTCCTGAACAAGCTACTGAAGGCCACTGTCCTGCATGGCTACAGATTTCACAACCAACCCTATGCCACCAGCCTGTTCATATGACATTGCTTAAGGCAAGGAGCAGTCAGGGAAAATCCCTGAGCATGCGTTCTCTCAGCTGTGGGCCACCATGTCTTCCTCCTGTGAAGGATGAAGGGTTGAGGAGGCACTATCCTTCCCTTCCTACCACACATGTAGAGGGGCCCCTGTCGTGTTACTGCAACCACCATTAAGCCACATTCTCAGTGGACATTGCACAGCCATCGGACATGCTGCCTCAAAGCTCCACCTACAAGCTATGGCCCCAGAGACCCCTGAATGCCATAGACAGCTGGTGGTATCCCAGGGACAAAGAAAGCCCAAAGTATATGTTCACATCGCGGGGATACTAAAGCGTCAGAGTGAAAGAACATAAGCTTTACAGATACTCTAAATTCGGTTAGTCCCATTTCCACAGCATTTGCCATCTTGGGTGACTCATTCAACCTTTCAGAGCTAGGTTTCCTCATATATAGAGGAGGAACGCAATACCTGCTTTGTGTTAGTGCTACTGAGAAGAAGGATGATGATGTTGATAATAATAATAGGCTGAGGACATTCTGCCCAGTGTTAGCATCCAATAAATACCCGTTTCTTTCTCTGTTCTCTTAACTAAAAGCCTCTACTAATCCAGTGGAGGCTACTTATGGGTCATAATTTGAACACCTGGGAGAGGTAGTGTGAAATCATAGTATAGAGGAGCTGATGGCAGCACTACGATGCAGACGGCATTCACGGAAGGGGAGTTGATGACAGGACTAGGATGCAGAAGGCGTTCATGCAAGGGGAGCTGATGGCAGCACTAGGATGCAGATGGCGTTCATGGAAGGGGACCTGATGGCAGGACTAGGATGCAGAAGGCGTTCATGGAAGGGAAGCTCCCTTACTGTCCGCATGGCTTCACAGCATCAACAAGAGGGTCCCAAATCACATGTTCCAGCACCCATTCCCCAACTTGAAGTCCCAACACAATAAAAATAAAGGAAGGCAATGAAATATTGTAAATGCCATGGAGTCTAGAAATCCTAGATTTTAGAACCCTCTAAGTCTATGCAAAGCATTAACATTTCAACACATAACCCAATTTCAGGAGGCTTACACAAAGGAAAAGCAGTCCATTGCAGCGCCCTCCTTCTTCCCACTGGTGTATAGGAATGCCTCCTAAGCAGTCGTGGCCTTACAGAGCCCTAGAGACAAATTCATTTTGCTTTTTTGTTTTATTATTGTTATTATTATTATTATTATTATTATTATTATTATTATTATTTGAGATGGACTATTGCTCTGTCACCCTGGCTGGAGTGCAGTGGCGTGATCTCGGCTCACTGCAATCTCTACCTCCTGGGTTCAAGCAATTCTCATGCCTCAGCCTCCCGAGTAGCTGGGATTAAAGGCACTCGCCACCACACCTGGCTAATTTTTGTATTTTTAATAGAAACGGGATTTCGCCATGTTGGCCAGGCTGGTTTCAAACTCCTGACCTCAGGTGATCCACCCTCCTCGGCCTCCCAAATTGTTGGAATTATAGGCGTAAGCCTCAGCGCCTGGCCTCATTTTGCAATTAACAAAATACAAGGAGGCCCTCCTTGATATTTGGAGATAGAGTATTTCAAGCACATTTGATGAATTTCTATCTTCTTATGTTGTGATAAGAAGGCTTGGCAGGATGTTTTTACAATTGTAGTATACATTTCATGGGGAGGAAAGGAAATACCTATATATGTGTGTATTTTATATATACAAAATATAAAATGAAAAAATGCAGTTGAACATATATATATATATATATATATATATATATATATTCTCTTCTGGTTTTCAACTGCATGTTTACATTATCTCATGTTTGGGTCTAGGCCTGTTATTAAATGGGAAGATGAGAGCCCTCTGGTGGCTAAATGGACTCTTCTTTTTTTTAAGAGATAGTAAAACTAATTATCTTGTGTTTTGAAAATTCTATACCTTGTTCCAGTTAGCAATTTGCTGCATAAACTTCATCTTTTCTCCACTTTTCTCCACTGTTCTTCATCTTTTCTCCTCACCCTTGAGTAAAGACATAATGAGATATTACATTTTCAACCTCTTTGATGCTCACACTTTGCATTTAGGCAAATAGTTAATCCACCTTCTGAAAAGATAAAACAGTGTTTTAGAAATTTGATTTTCAGACACTCATCTAACAAATATTTATGGGGCATCTATAACAAGTAAGACACCATTCTAAGTACTGTAAGAGCTATAAGAAAATTTATAATATAACATCTAGTTGCAAGAAGCTTATAGTAGAGTATAAAAAAGAACAGCCTTGACTTTTTAAAAATGTATTTTTTTCTATAAACTTTAATCATTTTATCAAATACATAAGTTTTCTTATCAGAGGTATTCTCCTAGGTTCCCTATCTTCCATCTACTCGGGTGCCTGTAGCAAGAAGTGGATCATCAAGTTGAACTCTTCCTTCTCCCACTGTCCAATCCAATGATTCATCATGTCCTGCCAGCTCTACTTCTCTTTATTTCTATTGATGCCAACTTAGATCAGGGCACCTAAATTTCAGGTCATTACTATATCCTTTTATTTATTTTATTTTATTTTATTTTTATTTTTATTTTTTATTTTTTATTGAGACAGGGTCTCTCTCTATCACCCAGACTGGAATGCAGTGGCACAATCACAGCTCACTGCAGCCTCGACCTCCTGGGCTCAAACAATCCTCTCGCCTCAGCCTCCTCAGTAGCTGGGACTACAGGGATGTGCCACCATAAGAGGCTAATTTTTAAATTTTTTGTAGAGACAGGGTACTCCCTACGTTGCCCAGGCTTATGGTATGCTTTTTAGAAATGTATTTTTAAGTTATTTTTGAGTGGTTGATACATGTACATAGTATAGAATTCAACATATACAATAACAAATGCATAACAGGTAAGTCTCCCTCACACTCCTACACCGTACACACCTGGTTCCCTTCTACAAAACAGCTACAAGTATCAACCCTTTGGATATACTTGTAGAGATATTCGGTTCACATGCAAGCATGTATGTATTTTTCTCACAAATGATGACACGCAGTTCAGTGCCTTGCTTTTACATCTTTCAGTACCTGTTGGAGAAAATCCTAAATCAGTGTAAAGAGGGCTGCTTCATTCTTTTTCAAGAGATGCATAGAATTCTATTATATGTATGTATATTACCATAATTTATTTAATCAATTCTCTATTGATAGAAATTCAGATGGTTTCCAATCTTTTACTATTACAAGTCAATGCTGCAATAAATATCTTCTTGCAGACATCATTTTTGCACGTGTGCCAGAATATACTTAGAATAAATTCCTAGAAGTGAAATTATTGGATCAAAGGATATGTATATTTTTACTTTTGATAGTTATTGCCAAATTATTCTTCATAGAGGTTTTACCAAAGTCTACGCTCGCTGACAAAATATGAGGCTCTGTTTCCCCAAATTCTCAACTATACCGTGAGTTAGAACTTTGTGTTTTATCTTTACCAATCTTATGGGTAGAAATGGTGCCCCAATACAGTTTTAAGTTACATTATTCTTAATTTGAGCGAGGTCAAGCATCTTTTGATGTTTATGATGTATTTTAACATAAAGATACACCTTTGTCCTTATCTTTACTATACATGGATTTAGTTATACGTGTCTCCTTATATCTCTTGTTCATTTTTCTGCTTGGGGTTTGTTTTTTGCTTGTCTTATTGAACTGTAGGAGTTTGTGGCAGGCAGCTTCCAAGATGGCCCCAGATGACTCCATCTCCTGATATCCACACCCTGACACACTCCCCCTCCCACATCGTACCACAGTTGCTCTGTGTGACCAATAAAATATGGCAGAAGAGATGGTATGCCATTCCCAAGATTAGCGCATAAAAGATAATCAGCTTCTGTCTTGGTGGCTCTCTCAATCTCACTTGCTCTGGGGGACACCAGTAGCCAGGTCTTGAGCAGCCCTGGATAAAGAAGACCACGTGGTGAGAAGCAGAGGCTCTTTTGAGAGTTTCATGAATGACCTTAGCCAGGGTCCTTCAGCCTCGGGTAAGCCTTAGAAAGACCCAGCCCTGACTGATGTCTCCACTGCAACATCCTGAGAGACCCTGAGCTGGAATCACTCAGTTAATATGCTCCCAGATTCCTGACCCACAGGAATTTTGAGATTATAAGTATTTGTTGCCCTAGGATATTAAGTTTTAAGGCAATATTTAAGACTTGATAAAATAGTGTAAGTTGATAATATAGAGTTGATAATGATATAGTTTGATAATAATATAGAGTTTTTGATATATTAAGAAAGCTAAGTCAAGTGCAATGATGAGTGCCTGTAGTCCTATCTACTTGGGAGGCTGAGGCAGGAGGATCACTTGAGCCCAGGAGGTCAAGTGCAGCCTGGGCAACAGAGTGAGACTTCATCTCTAAGAATGAATGAATTAAATAAATAAAATGGTAAACTTTTTAAAAAGAAAGAAAATCGGTCTCTTTCTCCTGAGCTTGAGTTTCTTGATTAGAATTTTAAATGCTTTTTCTTGCTTGTTGAATGTCTATTAGTCCTCTTTGTGATTTATTTTCTTTCTTTTTTTTCTTTATTTTCTTTTTTGCCATGCAGATTTTTTTAAAAAAATTTACATACTGAAACTTATCAACTTGGGGGATTACTTTTATACTTAGAAATGATGAAAGACCATACAAATTCCAAATTTTATTTTCTTCCATTTCTAATAATAAAGAGCTAGGCCACTTTGGTCAACTCTCCTGCTAAAATCAACTAAAAATAATGAATACAATAATTTTCTAGTATCCTTTAAAGCATCAAGAAACTGACAAGACAATAATGAATTACCAGACCAAGATCTAAGAGATTCCAGGAACCCAGAAGAGAAACTGTATTAGTCCGTTTTCACATGGTTGATAAAGACATACCCGAGACTGGGAAGAAAAAAAGGTTTAATAGACTCTGAGTCCCACGTGGCTGGGGATGCCTCAAAATCACGGTATAAGGTGAAAGATATGCCTCACATGGCAGCAGACAAGAGAAGAGAGCTTATGCAGGGAAACTCCCCCTTATATAATCATCAGATCTCGTGAGACTTATTCACTATCACGCAAACAGCACAGGAAAGACCTGCCCCCATGATTCAATTACCTCCCACAACAGGTGGGAATTCAAGATGAGATTTGGGTGGGGACACAGCCAAACCATATCATATGAGATTTCAGGGGGGACACAGCCAAACAAAGCCTTTTGTCCTAAGAACATACAGAGAACTGTGCTCCAGTTTTGAAGACCTCACAAAATAAGGGGGACAGAAGTCAAAAGCCTAGAGCCCACCCAAATTGGAATGTTAATATCAGACTCCCCACTTACATTAACCTAGAATCCCAAAGGTAAAACCTTCAGGAAGTAAAAATTACCCATTCCTCCTGTTTAAAAAAAGTCCTAAGATAGCAGTGTCTTAGTGCTAAATAAAGGAGAAAAACAAAAACAACACATAACCTGTCCGTGAGTAGCCTGTCTAGAGATTAGCTTCTGAGAATTGTTAGCCTAAATTTGAAACCCAAGGGTGGACCAGAAAACTTCAAGCCATAACTTTAATATAAATTGGTCACAGAGAGGCAGTGCTCCTAAATGTCTCATAGAAACAAAGGCAAAACTATTTGGAGAAGGATACCTTCACCCAAGTCACAGGAATTACCAGAAATCATGTCTTCTAGACAATGAGCAGTGCCTAGTTCATGGTAACCAAGCCACACGAAAGTAAGTTATGATGAGAAAGAAACAGCAGCAATAATAGATGACATAAACAGACCCTGAAAGACTTCAGGTATAGGAACAATTAGATGCAAGCTACAAAATAGCTATGTTTAAAGAAGTAAAGATAGAAAATATTTGCAGCAAACAGGAAATTGTAAAAAAAAAAAAAAAAAAGTGACCTAGCAGGTATGAAAAATAACCAAGTAAAATTTCTAGAAATACAAATACAAATACAGGCCAGGAGCAGTGGCTCATGCCTGTAATCCCAACACTTCAGGAGGCCAAGGTGGGTGAATCGCCTGAAGTCAGGACTTTTGAGACCAGCCTGACCAACATGGCGAAACCCCATCTCTACTAAAAATACAAAAATTAGGCAAGCATGGTGGTGCATGCTTATAATCCTAGCTACTTGGGAGGGTAAAGCAGGAGATTTGCTTGAACCCTGGAGGCAGAGATGAGCCAAAATTGTGCTGTTGTACTCCAGCCTGGGCAACAAGCATGAAACTCTGTCTCAATAAATAAATAAATGAATAAAATAAATACAAATATAGAAATAAAAAACCTAATAGATGAGTTTGAGAGAAGAAAGGCCAAAACTAGAGAGAACTAAAATATTAAAAGAAATTATTTTAAGTGTAGCACAGAGAGACAAAAGATGGAAAACATGAGGGAATAGCTAAGAGAAATGAAAGACTGAAGGAGGTCTACCATGCAGAATCCAAAAGAGTTATATTTTTAAAAACTGATTACTAGAAATAATTAGTGAATTTATCACTGTCTGTCTGAAGATGCAAGGTTCATATACAAAAATCAATTGTGTTGCTTCATATTAATAGCAAAGATTTGGAAAATAAAATGTCCAAAAATACAATTTACAATAGTGTAAAAACAAAAAATACTTAGAAATTTTTAAATTAAGATAGGATTTACATACAGTGAAATACATAGATCTCATGTGCTCAGTCTGATGAGTTTTGACAAATGCATACACCTGTGTATCCTATGCCATGTCCCTTTCTCCTTGTCAAGATATAAAACACTTTCATCACTCCAGAAAGCTCCCATGCCACCTCCTGGTAAATCCCTGTTTCACCTCCAAGTCCAGGCAACTTCTGTTCTGATTCCTTTCAGCATAGATTAATGTCATTATAGAATTTCATATAAGTTGTATAGGATGCACATAGTCTGGCTTCTTTACGTTGGTATAGGCATGATGTTTTAAAGACTCATTCATATCTTTGCATCCATGTTTCATCATTTGTATTGCTTTAGTATGTATGGATACATCACAATCTGTTAATCCATTTTCTTCTTTTTAGACATTTGGGTCAATTTCAGTTTGATTCATTATTAATAAAGGTTTTATGAATATTCCTATACAAGGCCTTTACTGGATATATGTTTTCTCTTCTCTTGAGGAAATACCTAGAAGTGAAGCACCTGCACTGAAATGCACTCACCAGTGTGTTGGTATTATCCATATAAATGGCTGCTCCATTGGAGTGAAAGCTCTTTGAAAACAGGGACCGGGTTTGGTTTATTGGCTTATCTTCAATGTCTTGCACAATAAAGGACACAGAGGAGGCATTAACTATGCATTTCTTGAATCAATATATTGAGGAGAAAATATAATATTCTTTAAGAAAAAGATGTAAGTAAACAATACATCTTCCATCCAGTTTGTCCTTGGTTACACTAGGATACTGTTTCAAGGATATGAGCACCTTATTAAAAAGTCCTTTTGATGGTTTTGTAAAATAAGTCCCATGGAAAATTTCCAAGAAAATCTGAAACTCTCAAAATAATAATATTAAAATGGCTAATATTTATTGAACCCCAACACCACCAAACAATTTAAGACAATCATTGCATTCATTCTTTGTACTCTTGAGTAGTCAATACAAGGAAAACAAGGCTTAAATAAGTTAAATAACTTGCTTAATGTCACACAGCTGAAAGTTGGTATACTTTCAATGGATATAAAGAAAGAATTTTGACTTACTGTTTTAATATGTGCTACTTTTGAAGGCAATTTTCAGTCCAAGTTTTTCCACACAAAGAATGAAAATAATAATAGCAACACCAACATACTATAAGGATCAAATGCAATTATTTATTTAAATTCCTTCTGTAAACAGAAAAGCACAATGCCAGGTAAGTTCTCATGATGATTGTTAATATCATCATCATTATCATTCGACCACTTATGAACGGTGTGGCCTTATGTAGGTAACTGTTAACTGGTAAAATGATGATGGTAATACTGTCTCGTTGTGAAGGTGAGCCCAGCACAGTAGTTGACACTGAATAAATGCTCAATACAGAGCTGCCACTGCTATTGACCTTGGTCTGTTACATGGTTCTTGTTCATATTTCCCTCCGGGACAAGTTGTTACTCCCTGGTAGGTAGGAGAGCTCCTAACTAGGCTTCATCATCCCCCCTCTCTCGGTCACACCAAAACTTTGGCCAAAGCAACCAATTAGAATGCCCATTAAAGATGTCTTGATCACATTGGGTTCCAGCAGTAAGTCAAAGAAATTCCAAATATCAGTGTCCCTTGTTCTCTCATATAACTTTAAGCCTTTTAGTTTAAATGTTGCAGCTCTGATTTTCCAGTAATGTGAATAAAGTGAACAATGTGTATAAATCGGTGATCAATTTTTCTAAACATCCAGTGACTCACTCATAGCCATATTCATTTGTATATGAACCAGGAGATACAATTTAAGCTTTGTTTAGCTCTGCTTTATTATCTTTTGAGCCTTGAAATTCTGAAATTATACTATCCTTCACTGGAGGCACCATGTCTACAGGGAATTTAACAGTTACAAGGTCTCACTCAATCACAGCCCATGTTCATAAATGCAGACTGAAGGGACACAGGCACAGATTTTCTGGCCTCGTATCAGCCAAAAGGAGCTGACTGCCAGGTGGATTCTGCTGCATCAAGTGGTACACCATCCTTATTTCCAGCCAAGCCTGTGCCTCTGAAATAAAAGTCTCAAATGCCTTTTCACACTGATATAAAGAACTGCTTGAGACTGGGTAATTTATAAAGAAAAGTGGTTTAATTGACTCACAGTTCCACAGGCTTAACAGGAAGCATGGGTAGGAGGCTTCAGGAAATGTATGATCATGGTGGAAGGCAAAGGGGAAGAAAGCACATCTTACATTGCAGCAGGAGAGACATAGAGAAGGGGGAAGTGCCAGACACTTATCAAACAACTAGATCTCATGAGACCTCTATCAAGGGAACAACAGGAGGGAAGTCAGCCCCCATGACTCAATCACCTCCCACAAGGCCACTTCCCCAACACATGTGGATTACATTCAACATGAGATTTGGGTGGGGACAAAGAGCCAAACCATATCAGACCACATAGATGACATAGGACTCCAAGACTACCAAGTCCCCTGGCCACACTCTGCCCTCTGTGTTGAAGGATATACCATTAGAGTTAAATCAACTTAGGGAACATCAGAGCAACAGTTTCCTCCATGGCATAGGCAGGCCAGGGATAGCTCCCAGGGGAGTCCTCTCCAGTGTGGCTCTGATACCCATGAGGTCAGTTGGCCTTGCTCTGCCTCTCCTTGCAGCAGCAGCTTTTACTACCAATGCACTCTGCACCTCCCACCACCACGTGACAGCTGACTTTCTGGTGCATTCATCGTTTCTGTTCCAAGTGCTACAAGTAAACTGCTAGCCGAAGTTGCTGTATTTATTAACTTTTGCAGCTTTCTCTACTGAGGTTGTGTTGACAGCATTTTTCTGTATTTGGGAACTTAAATGAAGTCCTCATATCGTTGTCCTGGGGAAGCTATTCAGCAAAGCACCACATGCCATTCTAATACCTCTTTTTCCTACTTCTTTCCCTGTGCTTCAGAAAATGCATGTTCTCTGACTGAACCTCAGCCTTCTGCTTCACTGGAGCTCTCCTCCCAGGGATCAGAGGCAAAAAACTTATTTCCCCTTGCTGGAGACTAGATGCAAATGTAGTGACTGGAGAAAGTCATCGTTATAGTCTTTTGCCTTGCAGAGCCACAGTGGCCATACGTAAATTTACCCAATGGTCCTGGGTTTAGACAATCAAAACAAATAGCTCTGCCAGCAGGTACTCTCAAAGTTTTTAGAGCCTCAAAACCTCAACATGCAAATCTCAGAGCATAGCTGCAATGATTGAGTGTAGTTACTTGCCAAAGCTTCGCCCCTTCTTTCCCCCACTACCTGCAAGGCTCCTGAGATGGCTCTGATGAACACAGTGGTTTTTGTTTTGTCTGGCTTTTAACTGTGCTTTGCAATTAAGTTTCAAAGATGAAACTTTTCATTGTGCTTATTCACTGTTCTGCACCTTTCATAATAGGAATTTGTAAGAGGTCTGGAAAGATACATAGAGACCTCTGTTCTGGTTCCTGGTGAGTGAAGATGTGAATCTGAACCCATCAGAATACATACTCCTGAGACTCCAGTTCATTCTGAAGAATGGTCAAGGAGACCTCTTCCCTGGAGACACTCATAGTAGCAGACATTTGTTTTCTCAATGGTTTAAGACAGAAACAGATGTTGCTTTGTTTGACCTTTAAGTTCAGCTGAAAGCAATATGTTAAACCTAAACAAGCCCTTCAGGAAACAGTCTCTACTTTGAGTCCTTAAATGTTCTCACTTTTCTGATCTGTCAATAAGCCTTTCATTTTTACATAGATTCACGTTATGTTCATGTATTTATTGGAATAAAGGTACACTTATTTATGGGAATATCAGCATGCAGGATGACACCAAGAATTATAACAGCTCAGAGAGGGTCTAAGGTCATACATATGAGCCTAAAGGAAAACGAGAGCAGAGAAACAACTAAAATAGTGCATTACATTTATAGTATAGTATTTGTCACAGTTTACAAGGCACTCTTACATATATGGTCCATAATAATCCAAGTTCTTGGAGTCAAACAAGAGAAGCCAAGTCTGATTAATTGCAGCAGAAATAAATGTATTGGGAAAATGATGAATAGTCCACAGAACTTATGTGAGCCCTAGAGCACAGAGAACACTCAGGAACTAAGGGAACCTGGCCCTGTGCGGCACAAAGTCATGCCATGGTCACATCTGGCCTGAAAGCTATCCCAACCTCCAGCACCACTAGCATCTGCCACTGCTGCCACTGTGACTGGTCTCTGGGTCTGGATGTTCCTCCTTCCAGATTCATAGTTCTAGGTGGGCACATCTTATTGGAGAAATCTGTCCTCTAGGTGCTGCAAGGTGAGAAGAAAGAATATATACTTTCTTTACCCCTCACTTCTTGGAGTACAGTACTGGATAATTATATTAGTTTTCTATTTGTTTATTTTTAGGCCATTGTGCATATTTTAAGTTGTATTTATTTATTTATTTATTTATTTATCTGAGATGGGGTCTTGCTATGTCTCCCTGGCTGGCCTCCAACTCCTGGGCTCAACTGATACACCTGCTTCAGCTTCCTAAGTAGCTGAGACTAGAGGCACACACCACTGCACCCAGTGTATTAGTTTTATATTGCTGCATAATAAATTACCACAAACTTAGCAGCTTACAACACAAATTTATTATCTCACAATTCCCATGAGACAGAATTCCAGCACAGCCTCAGCAGGGCTATATTCTCATCTGGAGGCTTGACTGGGGAAGAGTCTGTTTCCAAGCTCTATAAAGTGGTAGTAGAGTTTATTCATGCTCAGCTTCATGTCTGAGGTTCCCACTTTCTTGCCAGCTCTCAGCTGGAGACTACTCTCAGCTCCACACTCAGACCCGTCCCTCATTCACAGGTGCACCCCTCGGTAGGTAATTCACAAGAAGGCTGTTTCCTTCCTCAGAGATACAGGAGTATCTCTCTGGTTTCATGTCTTTTGTCAAATAAAGTCCAGTTCCTTTCTAAGTGTTCCCTTCATTAGGTCAGGCCCACCTGGGATTTTCTCCCTCTTGCTTAACTCTTAGTCAGCTGATTGATTACCTGCCAAATCACAGGAGTGATATTCCATCATATTCACTTAAGGTCTCACCCAAATTCAAAGGGAAAAGATTACATAGGGCATATACCAGGGGTTGGGAATCTCAGGGCCCATCTTTGAATTTTGCCCACCACACTTACCAAAAAATAACAAGCACCTCCCACTTTATCTCATCAGAGTAGCAGATCCAGTATAAATTTTCCAGTTTTACAGAGGAAAAAATAAGCCTCTGAGAAGTTGGGTGATTTGGTTGTAGCCATACAGTTAAGTAACTGAGTGGGAACTTGAAATTAAGATTTTTGACAGTGCTCTTTTCAAAGGTAAATATATAAACATTTGTTAAAGTAAATGACCTGACAATTCATGGTATAGGTTCTGACGGAAAACAAGAAAGGAAGAGTAAAGATAGGAAATGATGACTAATGAGCCTATGCCGGCTACTGAAGGCTGTTTTTGAGTTCTGGAACTCAATATCAACAAAGCACAGGAGCTGTGTGATGTCAGAGAGAACTACCTGAATCTACAACACAATTGCTGTTTATATTTATTTGTTTTTTTAACTTCTAAGTTCAGGGGTACATGTACAGGTTTGTTACGTAGATAAACACACATTATGGGGGTTTGTTGTACACATTTTCATTACCCAGGTATTAAGCCTAGTACCCATTAGTTATTTTTCCTGATCTTTTCCCTTCTCTCAGCCTCCACCCTCCAATAGGCCTCAGTGTCTGCTGTTCCCCTCTTTGTGTCCATGTGTTATCATTTAGCTCCCACTTATAAGTGAAAACATGTGGTATTTGATCTTCTGTTCCTGAGTTAGTTTGCTGAGGATAATGGCTTCCAGCTCCTTCCATGTCCCTGCAAAGGACATGAGCTTGTTCTTTTTTTACGGCTGCATAGTATTCCATGGTGTATATGTACCTCATTTTCTTCCCAGTCTATCAGTGATGAGCATTTAGGCTGATTCCATGTCTTTGCTGTTGTGAATAGTGCTGCAGTGAACATACTTGTGCATGTGTCCTTAGAATAGAATGATTTCTATTTCTTTGGGTATCTACCCAGTAATGGGATTGCTGGGTCCAATGGTATTTCTGTTTTTCAGGTCTTTGAGGAATCACCACACTGTCTTCCACAATGGTTGAAGCAATTTATACTCTCGCCAGCAGTGTATAAGCGTTCTCTTTTCTCCGCAACCTCGCCAGCATCTATTATTTTTTGACTTTTTAATAATGACCATTCTGATTGGTGTGAGATGGTATCTCATTGTGGTTTTTGATTTGCTTTTGTCTAATGATCAGGGATGTTGAGCTTTTTTTCATATGATTGTTGGCTGTCTGTATGTCTTGTTTTGAAGAGACTGCTCTTTTTAAAAGAAGCAACCCAGAGAAAGTTTTAAAGGTGAATATACAAAGTAGCAAAGGTCTCCAAAAGAGACCAAGCAGGAACTTAGCGATCAGCGCCCAGGTCCTGCAGTTTTCTCTTGTTACCTCTACCCCTGTCTGTGTATCCTTTGCTTCCTGTTCTTCTCTTCGTAGTTCAGAGACCATTCTGTCTCCCGAGGAACCTTTCCTTAGACAGGGTTATCAAAGAGAACTTAAGCATATGTCAAGCTAACCTCATTACTTCCTTTATCATTATCCTGAAAAGTTCTCATAGAAGCTTTTGAAAGGCAGAATATAGAAAGATAAAAGGAGGGACGTTATCAAGGATATAGTTTGATATTCAACAAATAACAAATTTTTTATCTAAGAATGTATGCGTTAAAGCTTAATAGATCTTTGAACCCATGTCTGTACATAAAAAAGTAGAAAGAGCAGTTTTTTAAAAAATGTCATATTCAAATATAGCTGAATGTATTTACATATTACACTATGCATACATATTGTATTTACCCTCTTCTATTCATGTGTACATCACATGTAAGAAGCAGCAATAAAGTTACTGGCAAACCTTTGTTTTCCAATCCTGGCCCAGCTTTCCTCCAGCTGTGTTACTTCAGAGACATAATTCAGCCTATCGTGCCTCAGCTTTCTCATGTTTAAAAATAAGAAGTTAGAAAATGTGATTTCTAAAGCCCTTCCAGCTTTAAAATTCAGTCATTCTTTGATATGCGAGATAATGGACAATTGTGAATATTAAGGCAACACAATCCTCCTCTCTCATCCTCAAGTGGGAGGGGGTTAGTTCATATTAATCACAGGCAACCATGGACTTGGTTGCATTTTGAGTCGCATTCAACTAAGAACATTGGCCCTTTCGACTGTTTTGGGATATTTGCCTGCTGTAGAACTACTTACCACAGCCATGTATCTAGCTACCTACAGACGTACGCACATACACACACACACACACACACACACACACACACACACACACAGAGAGAGAGAGAGAGAAAGAGAAGAAACAAAGACAGCAGAGTAACCAGGTTAACAAGAGTAGCCGAGTTAGCAGAGGATTGTAGGAGGAGAGAATAGAAGAAATACGACACCCTCACAGCTTTCACAAATTGGCACGATCCATATGCATTGCTGCTAATTACAATAATCATCTCCTTCTACAGCGAGAGCACTACTTGACCCTGTACCCACGTTTTATTTATTTATTTTCTAAAGCATTTCTCTTCTCCTTTATCTTCTCCCTTAGGCTATTAATTAACTGCAGTGAAGGATAACAGAGGCCCCCATCACAGGGTCCATTTGGCCTGTCCCTGATCCCTACTATCTTGAAACACTCCTCACACTTTGAAAACCAACAGCGCATTCCAGCATGACCCAGAAGATAGCCAGGTCTCTTCCTTTCTCTCAACCCCTCGCTTTCAATTTTTGTTGCAGAAGAATTATGAGCACGTTTGAAGCTAACCATATTATTTCCTTTATCATCATCCTGAAAAGTTCCCAAAGAAGCATTGGAAAGGCAAAATTCTATTCTAAGCTACACCCTCCTCTGTGGGCTTAGCTAGATGCAAATAGATTTAAGTGAGGCAGAACTATGACTGCCAAGCAAGGAGATGGATTCCATACACGATGTGGGAAAATTAATCTCACCTTATATAATCAGTGCCTAAAGCAAGGGACTCACACTTCCTTCCCTCTCCCCAAATCCCTGGGAGATTGTGAAAATGGATCAAGGAGCCGCGATGAAGTGTTTATATATTTTTAAATGTATGTTCCTCTCTCTTTCTTTTTCTTTCTTTCATCTCTTTCTCTCTTTAACACAGACCTCTGTTGATAAATAATGGACTGTGGCAAAAGAAAATTGACTAAGACTCTAGCCAACTTCAAATAAATTGGCTACTGGCACAGCTGAAAACATAACTTAGCTTAAATGAGGTTTCTTTCCCATTCTACAGAATCCCCCAGCAGCAAACACCATAAACCTAGAAGGTGCATCCTGACTTGTATTCTATAAATCCGTGAGCTAATAAATAATGCTCACAGTGTAAATGAGTGACTCCACAGAGACTACGTTAAAAAGAAACATTTCATAGGGAAACCAATAATATTTTCTTTTCAAGGGAAAATATATGTCCTCTCCTATATCCTTAATTACAGCCCAGACTCTAACCATGTCTTACAAGTGTACTAAATGAAAAAGTGGCTAAAACTTCATCCTAGTGCACTTTATTAGTGAGCCAGTTATTAAGCTATTCTCTCGGTATCAAACTCAAACTCATGCTTCTATACTTGGCTTTGTGATTCTGGGGCTGACTTTGCAAATCCCATTTCTGCTTTACCAGCTCCCTCCAAGTGTGTCTTTCCTTTTCTTTCCTTTTTTCTTTTTTTTTTGAGACAGAGTCTCACTGCACCCAGGCTGGAGTGCAGTGGTGCAATCTTGGCTCACTGCAACCTCTGCCTCCCAGGTCCAAGCGAATCTCCTGTACTCCCACCTCAGCCTCCTGAGTCGCTGGGATTACAGGCACCCACCAACAACCCTGGCTAATTTTTGTATTTTTAGTAGAGATGGTATTTTTGGTAGAGATGGAGTTTCACCATGTTGGCCAGGCTGGTCTCAAACTCCTGACCTCAAGTGATCCGCCCACCTCAGCCTCCCAAAGTGCTGGGATTACAGGCATGAGCCACTGTGCCTGGCCCCAGGTGTGCCTCCTCTAATAGTGGTGGGTGGAGGAAGACCAGATGGCTGGAGAAGAAGAAGGCACTCACTCTTCTTGTTTGCGTACCGTTGCTGTCATCATCGCCCAGCCTCACTCCTTTACTTTGGCAGGGATGGTTAGGGAAGTAGCAGAAGATTCCAGTTGTAGTTTTCCAATATTCATACCCCCTCAGAAACACTAGCAGGTGGCTATCCTTTCCTTGGGGGTCTAGAACCCAAATCAGTAGGACCAAACATCAACAATGGAATTGTGGGTTTGCTTTGGCTGGGTCCCTCATCTTGAATGCAGTGCTGAACTTCCTGCTAATGGCAAATGGAATTCCAGTAACCAGTGGCATGCAGTGACATCACAGTTTATAAAACTATTACCTGTGGTTGCTTTTCAAGTGCTTACTAAAGCAAGAGCCTTGGAAGAACCAAATGTCCTCTGCATTTGACTACTGCAGCAGCTACGATGACTACACGGGTGATAGTATGGAATGGCTCCCTCTGAATGCCCTAAAGCACTTGCATAAGGAAAAAAGAAAGAAAGAAAAAAAAAAGCCTGCTTCTTTAAGTTCTGAGCTTGAGTCATAGATAATTAAGAAGCTTCCAGGCCAGTCCTGAAAGAATATCATTTCTTTCTCTTGTTTGCTGAAAATAAGACACAAAAGTTAATTGCACAGATTTCAGAGTTGAAAGTTGAATTTGAATTTATAGACTCTCAAGTTTCTCAAGTGAAGGTTGGGTATCAACTAGAAAAGATAATGACCCTTAGACTCGAAAGAATGACATCAGGATGGATTCATAGCAAGCTCAGAATTCTGAACCCCTGAGTCATCTGACCTCCTTTGCCAGCAGAAGATGCCTATCCTCACATACCTGGAGAGACCAGCCTTCTGCTTCTTGAATAAACTTTAATAATGGGGCAGTTGCCTTGCCATGAAATACGTCTTCTCATCAACCCATTCTGACCATTCCTTTTCTCACTATACCCATAATAAGGGCCCGATCTCAGCATGTTCCCTAAGGGCAAGTACAAAGTCTGACCCAGGAGGAAATAACTTACATGCTAAAACAGTTGTAAGATTATGCTAATTTTAGTGGTAGAATCCTGAAAAAAATATGTGTGGGAGTTTATTCCAAGGGTATTAGACCAAGGAGAATGAAATATAACAAGTGGACTGGATTTTATTGAACTTATTGATGTGAGTGCACTTACCAGAAACCCCGGATTTAATATTTTATCTCGTGAAGCTAGATGTGGCTCTAGCAGTTTGCCTGGTTGATAGATTGACTCAACCATGGCTTATGTTTAATGAGATTGACATGCCTGAACTTCCTTGGCAAAATGTGAAGGAATCTGGAGTCTTAGGAATACAACAATGTTGAAGCACATTTATAATGTGTTCCCTGAACACCCTGCCTCTACTCTCCACATCCCAAGGTGGCCCAAAGATGCTTCCTTCACAATTGAGAAATTCACTGGTGAAGAGAGCATCAGCATTCTTGCATGTTAGCTATATGGTGGCTGTCATCTGTAGGCCTCAAATGACGGTGAGGATTCCACATTGATATTTTGGTGGGAATATGAGATCCCAGAGTGACATAGGTCATTTGGTAGTTTTTACTACCAAAGAAAGATGAAATGCATTTACAGAAAAGTACAGGAGAGACAAAGTGATAATTAGAAAGTTTTTGACTTACAGTGGTCATTGCTGACCACAGTGTCCTTGGAAATGAAATAGATGGACTACCCATGAAAATGTTACTTAATCTATGTCAGGATTTACCAAACTCTCCCTGTAAAGGTACAGATAGTAAATATTTTAGACTTTTCACTTCAAGAAGCAAAATTAATGATGTTATATAGGTACTTATATTACAGAAGATAACACAAATTTTTACAAAATTTTTGTTGATGAAACTTAAAATATAATACTACTAATTGAGTACTTTTTTTGTAATACTAATGAGGAAAAGGAATTTTTTGGGGGGATAACATTTCACTTAATTCAGGTTCAAAATTAGTGTTTTCTATCATTAAAGTTGTTTGCTAATATCATCTGTCATTTTGATCTTTAATGAACTTTTATACATTTAATCTAATATTTGAAACTACATTTTTATACAGATAGGCATCACCAAATATTAACATGAAATTCAGGAGCATGGATTTTTATTTGAGTGTATTCATTGCTTAGAAGGTATTTATGGAATTTTACTAGACTCTTCCCTTATATTTGCCTGTTAACAGGTCATTACATTGCAAGAAGTTCCTCAATTGTACAACTAAATCAGTTTCGAAATACTGAAATTTCCTTTGCACTTCCATTGAGGTCTGAAAAACATTGCCGTAACCATTGTCTGAGCTTGAGAATGTATCTACTGCAAATTTATGTGGGAATGGAGATCTCATTCTTGTTTTAACCATTGACAGATTAGAAAGTGTATAAAGCAGCTTGACATTAATTGCAGTTCAAACATTAGTTGTCAAAGTAATTTTACTATAGTTAAGCTTCACATATATAAGTGACATTTGCCTTATGATTTTAGGTTGAATTCATTAATAAACATTATTTAGTCTGTAGCAAAGGCTAATTTCCAAAGCTATTCAGTGTTTGATAATAATGGTTTAAACCAGTTCTTCTCTTTCAGAAAAAATTCAGTGTTATCCCTCAGCTCAAAATTTTTATTGCAATAAAACTTTACCACTGCTAAACCATAAAACTGCCATGTTTAATGTTTAGCTTCTATCTCTGACAAAAATTCATGGAACCGACAGTAAAATCTACAATCGTAAATGAAGTTCACCACTGGTACGACTGGTTTAATAATACACAACAGATTAATGTATTTTTCACAAGATACCTGTAACAGATACTACAACAAATAAACATAGGCTTAAAAATTTTTACATCTTTACAAGCATTGCAAATTTGTCTAAGTCTTTTTCTGCTCCAGTTATATTTTTACTACCCTCAATTGTAACACATCATAGCAGATTCTACTTCATGTTATACTAGATTCATATTTTCTTAACTTCTGTTAACATATGCTTACCTGCATTTATTCCACACAGACTATTCATACTGGCTAATTCTTTAGTCACTTCAAACTAGTCAAGTACTGATTCCTTGAATTAAACAATTGAACAGTATTGTAAACATCTGTCAATTCATAAAGACCCAAAGAAAACCACTTGAAATCATCTGCTTTGTTTTTTTTTTTTTGACCATTGGTGTTACTTTCAATGTTCTGAACTCTTCAAACAACTGTTCTTGCTGAAATGCTAATAGTCTTGAACAAGTTTATTTTCTCTGGACTCATTTATTTGGCTGCTATGATCAAGCATAATTTAATGAATCCACCATTAGTAAACGGCGTTCCTCGCTTGTTTGGCTAACAGATGAACCACTTGGAAACTATTGTGTCATTGCATAATAAACGTAATGCTTTGCCATTTAATTTGATAACAAAATAATCCATGCTTCACTGTACCTTAAAGGCATGCATGCAAAGTTCACTATTATTTTTTTGTCATGACATAATTGTATGAACTGGTAAAAAAAAAATATTTCGCAATGGAGTGATATGTATGGCACTCAAAATGCCATCACGTTATAATTGCATCACCTTAACATCATGCTGAGTGTCACCTTATAAGCAATGAAGACACATCTGGTCTCTGATGCATCTGCTCAACCCTGCCATAGTAGTGTAAAATCATTCATAGACCACAAGTAACCAAAGGAAGGTGGCTGGGTTCCAATAAAATTTTATTTATGGACATTGCTCATAAAACTTTCATTTGTCACCAAGTCTATTTTCCTTTTGATGTTTTCCAACCATTTAAATATGTAAAAGCCATTCTTAGGTCATAGGTTTTACAACACAGAAGGCAGGCCAGATCTGGCCAGGGACTACCCTTTCTTTGTCCAACCCTTGAACAATATAATGGAACTCCAAGTCTGAGAGCTAAAAACTTGATTTGAGTCATGGTACAATAGATGACCATGACCTCTCACCTGGTTTCTAGATCCAAACCAGTTCACCCATCCAGATCCCTTTGGCTGAAGGGAGGACCATGTCCCCTTAAAGAAGGAACCTGTGGCATAGTACATACTGTACACCTTCCTGCAAACCTTTTCTAAAGGGATCTGCAGTCATTGATTGGAGTGAACAGATAATAGTTAGATCTTTTATGGATTCACTGAAAGCATCATGCAGAGAAGTAAGCCCCCAGTTTGTAAAAATATTAGACAGCTTTTATGTGTTTTTATACTGCATAATTTTAAAGAACCTCACTCTTCTTCCACAAATGGCAAAGAGCCTATCCTGGGGGCTGGCATTTTCATTGAGTTTGCTTCCCTGCTCCCTCTGCCTGCTAACAGTGTTCATGGCAGACTCCCTGCCTGCCTTCCCATCATGTCGTCCACAGGCTTGTCTCTGCCCTCTTTCTCTCCCTTTCCCAGCATCTGTGTGATCACGGCACTGTCCATTTATAGGACAATTGCTAAAATAGCAATGAGGTGAGATAGAAAACTAGCAGCCAAGAAATCACTATTTGTGCTCATGTGCTTAAAAATAACCAATCTGGAATGACATTATAGGAAAAATCCAGATAACACTGCACCTGCCCTGGTATGAAGTCACAAGTGGCTTTACTGCTGGATGCACTTTTCCCCTTCTGTACGACAAAGATTTAAAAGCAAAACTAATCTCTGGCATCTCTTAATCTTTCTTCCCTCCAAAACATACCAAGGAATTAAATGTTTTCATTTAGTGTGCAGCCTTACTTTTTCCATTTTAAAGAAGAATAAATGGAGGTGTCAGCAGTTTAAGTGGTATCTCATCATTTTCAGCTCACCTCTGAACTTAAAAAGTCATTTTTCTCTGGAAGAGATTATGCAGCTTTTATGGGTGGAAAATAATGAAAAAGAAAATAAAAGGCAAAGATGCAACAGCTACCACTACTACTGCCCTCCACCCCCACCTCTGCTGCCTGAGTTGCTTATCATGACCTTATTCCATCCATCCCCCTCCTCTGCTCACTCCCCCTCCCATCCCCACAACCCTCCTCTGTTCTGGAAGCAGATAGGGAACTGGATGAACAATCTTGAGAATGCTGATAGGTGGCCTGGTTGTTGCCTGGACTTGTCTGCAAAATCTATCCTAGGAGTCTTATCAATCTGGGGGATGCCAGTGACTTGAATGATACCATCAATACTGTGCTGAGCAAGTTTATAGTTATAAATGACATGGTGGTGAAAGGCTAGCTAAAACTTTCCACGGGCAAATCAGAATCCATAAAGATCTCAACAAGCAGACCTAGAAGATTAATTAGGTCACTTAGGTCCAAACTAATGAGTAACAGGAGACAAGGTTGGCATATGTAACAAAGATTTGGCAGTTTTGTTGACTGTAGTTTCAGTTAAGTCATTCATATGATGTAGTTATCTATATCATCACATGTTGGGAGCAAGACCCCCAAAATCCGGCCATAAACTGGCCCCATAAACAAAATCTCTGCAGCACTGTAACACGTTCATAATGGCCCTATCGCCAGCGTTGGAAGGTTGTGGGTTTACAGGAATGAGGGCAAGGAAAACCTGGCCCGCCCAGGGCAGAAAACTGCTTAAAGGCATTCTTAAGCCACAAACAATAGCATGAGCGATTTATGCCTTAAGGGCATGTTCCTGCTGCAGTTAACTAGCCCAACCTATTCCTTTAATTGGGCCCATCCCCTCATTTCCCATAAGGGATACTTTTAGTTAATTTAATATCTATAGAAACAATACTAATGACTGGTTTGCTGTTAATAAATATGTAGGTAAATCTCTGTTCGGGGCTCTCAGCTCTGAAGGCTGTGAGACCCCTGATTTCCCACTTCACGCCTCTATATTTCTGTGTGTGTGTCTTTTAATTCCTCTAGCACCACTGGGTTAGGGTCTCCCCGGCCGAGCCAGTGTTGGCAATCACATGCTACTGTATGTTAGGGAACCTTTCTAAATGTTCTCATAGCATCACTTGCTGAATCCTGTTACAAATGTTCATCACACGGTATTGCAATTGTTTCTCTTACCTCCTACATTGTAAGCTTTTGAAGGCAGAAACTGTGTCCTTTTTTAAATCCACACGTATAGCATAATACATGACCCATGTGGGAACTTAATGTCAATTATCAAAGTGATGTGAATATAGCTTTTAACTATAAAACGCAATACCATTTACACAAAACCAAGGTAAGGTTATTTGAAAATTATAATACTCTTTATATTGTATTAAGATGAAGTTATATGAGATAGTATAGTGATGAAGGATGAGTGCTCTGAAATTAGTTTCTAGATTCAAATCTTGTCTCTGCCATTTACCAGGTGAACAATCTCGATCAATTTCCTTTCTATACCTTAGTCGGTATAAAATGGAGTATAAGTACTTGCTTCCTAGAGCTGTTGTGAGAATTAAATAAGGCAACACATATAAGATACTTAAAACAGGCCCTGCACATTGTAAACATAACTGTTATTATTAGTATTAAAATGATGATAATCATGATGATGACAACTCCATGATTGAAGTTATATGACAGTGATATACTGTGTGACAGTCTTTACAACATATAAAACAAAGGATTAGCATATAGAATAGATAAAAGAAGTCAAAATTTAATTTCTAAAAAACACCAAAAATGAGGAAAAGATATGAGGTAATTAACTGCAGTAGAAACTTAAATAGCTAGCAAACATATAAGCTAAAAACTCATTAATAATTTAGAAAATATAAAGTAAAACCTATGAAATAATATTTCTTACCTACTAAATTGACAGAAATTTCAAAGTCTGATGACATCAAAAGTTGGCAAAGATCTAGCGTGATAGGAAACCTTATGGGTGGTGGAAGTGTAAATTTGCACAACCATTTTGGAGAGCAATAGTTAATATTTAGTAAAACTGAACACGTGCATATCCAAGAGTCTGGTAGTCTCACGTCTGCACTATCCAAGGGGTTCCTAAGCATAAAGAATTTCACAGACTGGCCTAAGAGCCTGCCTATGTTCAGAAAAGCCCTTTCCACACCCAGCCATATCTTGCTTTAGGGCATTGCTCCTGAGTTCAAAAACCTTTGGATAACTGAAAAAGGAGATGCTTCCTTTAATGATTACTTAGGGCCCATAAAGCCTGTGGGCTTCTAGTCTTTCCTATACCACACATATTTCTGTTAAGAGTGAAGATTTGTGATAAAATGAGATATTCAGATACATGGTAGAGAGAGGTGGAGGTGATGACAATCTACTGTCAGAAATTGTAACCCGATTAGCAGTGGCGGCAGGAGAGCCTAGGAAAGCAAATCAGCGGTGAAATGTTTTGAATACTTTATGGCTGTTTTTCCTATGTTAAAGTGTAGGCAATTCTATTTCACTTTTCTCAACGTTTATGCCTAAAAAGTATTGTCAGCTGGAAAGAAAAGCACCTTGGGCTAGCCAAAGGAGTATGTTGATGACTCTGATTCTTTTAAACACATCTAAAATGTCTTCTGGAATTATCAAATTTCCCAGAGTAAATTAGATAAAATCCACAAATAAAATACTTTCATAATTTCTGTCAGATTTGGTGTGTGCACTTTGATAAAGCAGTTAAAATCCACATTATAAAAGCACATCTTTAAACATGTATTCTAATTGAAGTTTATCTTCATCTAATTTTACTTATAAAATTCTTAATGCTTTCTATTCCTATGAACAAAAAAATAAATAA
This sequence comes from Homo sapiens, assembly GCF_000001405.40. Taxonomy (NCBI): domain Eukaryota; kingdom Metazoa; phylum Chordata; class Mammalia; order Primates; family Hominidae; genus Homo; species Homo sapiens. The sequence goes on along the minus strand of NC_000006.12, from coordinate 11,678,632 downwards.
AATTACGTGCTTTCTTCCAGACTGATGAGTTTTAGCATTAGGTAGTTTTCGCCTTTTTACATACTGGGGAAAGCATTATCCTGAGGTCTAGAAATGAATGGTGTTATGTATTATATTTAAATTTGGTTGTAATTTAATTATTCACCAAAGCAGAACACGAACAATAAGTATATACACACACATACCAAAGAAATACATATACCTCGCTTCAAACATAACTTACAATTTTAGCTTAAAAGTATTTATAAATTACCCAGAAACAGCATCATGATTTTCTTATTTTTATAACTTACGAAAAAGTGAATAAATTAATGGTATTATATTTACATTATTTTAATCTCCTTACAGTATGCATTCTAAAATTTATTTATCAGTAGTTCTAGCACTATTTATTTAATTTATTTTTATTTTATTTTTTTGAGACAGAGTCTCTCTGTTGTCTAGGCTGGGGTATGATGGTGGTGTGAACACGGCTCACTACAGCCTCCACTTCCAGGGCTCAAGCGATCCTCCCACCTCAGCCCTCCAAGTAGCTTGGACTACAGGAACAAACGACCATGCTGGGCTAATTTTTGTATTTTTTGTAGAGACGGGGTTTCACCGTGTTGCCCAGGCTGGTCTCGAACGCCTGAGCTCAAGCAATCCTCCCGCCTCGGCTTCCCAAAGTTCTGGGATTACAGGCATGAGCCACCATGCCCGACCAGCAATATTTAACATTTACTCAATATTAAATGCAAATTAAATTTGAGAATTACTTGATAGCATTTTTAAATCTTGTATTAACATATTTATTTGAATTAAGAATGAAATTAGACTGTTTCTGTAAGAAAAAAGGTCTTATTTTGCTGATAGGTTTAACAAAAGTATAGGCTTTGCCAACATAGGATATTTTTGATAAATTAAGTGAGATAAATCTGCAGTTTCAAGGTTTAGATGAAAATATATTTTACAGCATTTGATAAGATAAATATCTTTGTCAATAATAAAATTAGTATTTTTCTATATTTCCAGCTGTTAGAGACACTATTGCTGTTCTGTTGCCTATCCCAGCAGCCACCTGTGAGTTCACTGTACCTTCTAGAGTCTTAAATGCCCAAGTCTTTCTGCTTCTTGGCGTAAGGAGGATTCGCCCTCTCTCTAGTCTTCAGCCTTGTACAGGGAGACTGGAAGGGCCAGGGAAAGTAATAAAAGATGGGAGTCCATGGATGAATTCCCCGCTTCTCTATTCTTTATTGGGACAGTTCTGACGTGCATTCTGCAGGATACTCAGAAGGTGGAACTGGGCTCTGTGGCCTACAGTAGTAACCCACTCACTAACTCACTTTTACATTGTTTTTCTCCCTCTCTGGTTCACTCTCCTCACTGACTCAGGTGTACCTTCTGGAATCACCTGTCAGGTAAACTTCTTCAACTCAAGATTTCATCTTGGGGTCTGCTTTTTTGTGGGAGCCCAAACTAAGACACCAATCCATTCTACACAGGGGGCCTTTAAATAAAAGAGCAACAGGTATATTTAAGAGTTATTTGATTAGGGTTGATAAACTCTTTCTGGTGTACCTCTCAGAATTCAAGAATGTGAATAACTCATAATTGGGCAATAGATTGTCTGCATGTTAGGTGGTTTTTGACACTTTCATGAATTTAAATAACTTAATAGAATTTTTGGCAGACAGCACTAAAAATATTTTGTCAGTAAATTACTAGGTAGTGTTTGGTATTTAACTTGAATGGAATGCATAGAATTGGAGGAAACTGCTCTAAACAAATGCCATTTGCTCCCATTTATTTATTATCATGAATATATTTTATCAGCAGTTACTTCTATAAAAGTGAGGGAGGGACAAAAATGAGTACAGAAATCTGTATTGTTCCAGCATTGATGAATGCTGGAACAATACAGATTTCATCAATGGATACATGAACTAACTGGGGAGAGAAGTACCATTTCTATAATTAAGAGAAGAATTCTCTATGGAACTTTACTTTTTCTGTTTAATAAACTACAAATTAATTGTAGTTTTATGATTTGGTGTCTTGATCAATTGGGTAACAATTACAATAACTCAATCCAGAAGAAAGTGTTTAACACTTACTGCCTTCCAGGAAATAAGACATTTTAAAAATTCAATCTCTATCCATAATTTTTTCAAAGAGAAGTATGATAGGGTGGTCAAAAAAGAGACCTTCTGGGACAAAAATATATTACAATAAGATAAAATTCTGTGGGACAATTGGAATGAAAAGGAGAAAAAGAAAAGTTATAACATTTCCACAGGAGATTATGCATGCATGTTTATAATGGATTATGAGAATTGAATTAAATTGTTATGGTATCCAAATTCCTTTGGATACATTTTAAAAAGTGATATAATCATTTTGTTTTAAAGCATCAATAATTACAAAATGTCAGAAGTTTTATCCTTTGAAACTCTTTAAATCTATGATTTAAATTGTTAAATGTCAATATTAAAATGTGTAAGGAGTGGAAAGTTTTTCCAAATTCCTTTAAAGGTTATACAAGAAATAAATGTGAAGCCTGGGCTAGAGTGTGTCCTCCCAAAAATCATATGTTGAAGTCCTAACATTCAGCGTCTCAGAATGTGACCTTATTTGGAGATAGGGTCTTTACAGAAGTTAATCAGTCCAGTTAAAATAAGGTCACTAGAGTGGGCCTTAATCCAATAGGACTGGTGTCCTTTTAAAAGGGGAATTTAGACACAGAGACACAGAGAAAGTGAAAATGATGTGAAGAGACACATGGAGAAGATGGTCACCTACAGGCCAAGTAGAGAGGTTTGGGCCAGATCTTACTCCCACAATCCTCAGAAGGAAGCAACCCTGCCGACATCTTGATCTTGGACTTCTGGCTTCCAGAACTGTAAAACAATAAATTTTTGTTGTTCTAAGCCACCCAGTTTGTGATAATTTGTTGTGGCGCCCTAGCAAACTAACACAAAGATCATTCTCCTGGAGAAACTCTCATACTTGCAGATAAGAAAAGTGTAAAGGACATTCACTGAAGAGTTCTTTGCATTAGGGGAATGGATAAACAAAATGTGTATCTCAGAAATTCCTATTTAGTTAGTGCTGAGGATGGGTTCTTGGAAATGGAAATGCAATTCTGGGTCTTTCTGACATAGTCCCTTTAGAGACACGCTGCTGTTGTTCCAAATTGGCAAATGCTCTTCCATTCCCTTCCAATCCCCTGAGGTCATGCGTGTTTGGTCCATAGTTCCCTCTAGCTTTCTTTTGTACAATTGTTTGGCAATTTTCAGGGTGGCAGTGATATTTTAGACATACTTCATAATATCAAAGAACTTCTACCAGTTCCTAAATTGCAGACTAATTTTTGCCCTTCACTACTTTCTTAAATGTGCCCCTCCCTGCACATCTATAAAACTTGAACTCTAAAATTCACCATGATTCTTTCTCCTTCTTTGTTTCTTTGCAGCAAATCCAGTTCTATTTTTCTCTTCTGTTGCATAGAAAAATAGATAGAACCCAAAATAAATGACAGAATTCAAGCAACAAGATGGATCAGTGGGATGGATGGCAGAATGGGTAGATGGACAGGGATGTGACAAAGTGAGGGTAGTAAAAGATGGATGGTAGGATCTCAGTGGCAGCATGTATAAAACATTATTATAAAAACCTAAAAGTTCACTTTGCAGTATTTTTAAAAATTCTCACAACAAAATGTTGGAAAAAAATGAAAAAAAATTAATGTCATACAGAATGGCAGCAGTGCAGAGCAAACAACACACGTTACAGAACAGATCTAACTCAAGTGTCCAAGGTCAATGTCGACAGTAATATGTCATGTTGATACCTCATTTGATAGCATGCACCCTGGAGATGATAGAATGAGTGGCACTTTCCTTCTGTGATTTTCATTTCAAAAACCCATAACCCCTGTCTAATCATGAGAAAAACATCAGACAAATTCTGACTGAGGCACTCTCTGCAAAACACCTGACCAGGAAACCTTAAAACTGTCAAAAGTCATCGAAATTAAGGAAAATCAGAAACTATCACAGCTAAGAAGAGCCTACGGAGATGTGACGATTAAATGTGTTGTGGCATCCTATATGGGACTGTGGAAAAGAAAGAGTAATCAGGTAAAAACTAAGGAAATTTCAATGAAGTATGGACATTAGTTGATAACAATATATCTATACTGGTGTAGTAGTTGGACCAATTATATCATTCTAGTGTAAAATGTTAACAATAGAAGAAACTGGGTGTGGAGGGAATGGGAGCTCTCTGTTCTATCTTCATAATTTTCCTGTAATTCTAAAGCTGTTATAGAATAAAAAGTCTACACTAAAAAACAGCAAATAATTACCTAAAGTAATGTTATTTTGTAATATTACAGGTGTGGGTAGATTATACTCATGTACCACATAACAATGTTTCAGTCAATGATGGACCCCATAAGATTATAATACCGTATTTTTACTCTACCTTTTCTATGTTTAAAAACACAAATATTTACAAATACTTACCCTATGTCACAATTGCCTACAGTATTCAGTACAGTAACATGCAGTACAGGTTTGTAGTCTAGGAGCAATAGGCTGTACCACATAGCCTAGGTGTGTCATAGGCTGTACCATCTAGGTTTATGGAAATACACTGCATGATGTTCACACAATGACAAAATTGCCTATTGACACATTTCTGAGAATGCATCCCCCTTGTTAAGTGACATGTGACTGTATAATCCTCTAAATGCAGTTGTAAGGTCTTTATTTGTATCTCTATGAAATAAATGCTTTTATTTTCAATGTTGGTCATTATAGTACAAACTAAAGGTGAGACCAAGAGACAGAAGTTATGTGTGGATTTAAAGTATCTAGTTAGCTCAATTGGAATAATCAAACTTTGTGGTTTTCGTTTTTGTTTTTTGAGGATGAGAAGATGCAGAAGGATGAAGTCGAATAAACAATTAAATTGGAATGAAAGCAATAGCATTTCCCCAGATTTGAATTGGTAATTTATGTTATACAGATGCAAACAGATTAATAAACAATACTTCATGACAACTGTAAGAGAATTCTTATCTAACTTATTTGTAATAGGCCTGCACAAGATATATAAATGTATTGACTATAATTCTTTTGCTAAGGTACTAATCATTATATTTTAAAGGTATGGAAACAGCTATATAAACAATGTCCTTAGGGGAGCTACTTAACCATTCTTTCCCTCTTTTTGATCTACAACTGGTTGTACCACAACCTGGTATCCAGACCTTTTTCTGTCTCCTGGAATCTCCTCCTGTTTGTTCACTGGGCCTTCTCCCCCTGTTGCTTAACTCTTGCTTGTCCCATTAAGGCTTTAGTTCAAAAGAGTTCAGTTGCAAAGTTTTATGGGTCTCAAAAATAACATTTTACATTTATACTTAAAATTGCAAAGTATTTCTACATATATGATCTTATTTGATTCTCATGGAAATCTTATGAAATACTTCTTTCTTAGCTAAGGAAACTGAGCCCTTGAGGGTAAGCTTAAGAGCATCACTGACTCCTTATTTTGGTTATTCTTCTTGGCTACCTGACCTCTGTTTACTGTTGAAGCATTTGGAGCATCCTCCATCTTACCCGGCAAGCATGCACCTTCCCGGACTCTAATTCAGATAAGACATAGGCACATAGCCCCGCTATGAAACACCCCCTGCCTCAGCCCCAGAATCAGAAGTTAGAGGAGTAGAAAAGCAAGATGAATTCTGGAGATGAGATAGAGCAGCTGCATCTAGTTTCAGGAGGCAGCAGGAACCACAATTCTAGTCTCTGTGTTGAAAATCAGATGCCCAAATATGCATGGGTCCGTTTCTGGTTTTTCTATTCTCTTTCATTGACCTATTTGTCGATCTCTATGCCAATTATTATCATACTAGCTTTAAAGTAAGTAAAGACCTTTCATCTTTACATATAGAGACATGCAGTACTATAAATTTCCTTTTAAGTACTACTCTAGTATTCTACAAATTTTGATATATTGTTTTCATTTTCATTCATTTCAATACACTTTCTAATTTCCTGTTTGATTTTTTTCTGGTTCATGAGTTGCTTAAAAGTATTATTTTTTCCCCAGATAGTTGAGCATTTTTCAGATATCTTTCTCTTGTTGATTTCTAAGTTAATTCCATTGTGATCACATCACACAGTTTCCATGATTTGAATTCTTTTAAATTCATTGGCACTTGTGTTATGGCTCAGAATATGTTCTATCATAATAGATAGTCCATATGCATTGAAAGGAATGTCTGTTCTTCTGTTGTTGTATAGTGTGCTCTAAAAATGCTAATTATGTCAAGTTGATTGATAGTGATTTTTAAAATTTTTTTCTTGTATTGCATCCTGTTGCATTTTAATGATAGTGATTTTCTAACTTTCTGTAACTTTGCCAATTTTCTGTCTTGTTTCATCAATTACTGAGAGATAGATATTAAAATCTGCAATTACAAATGGGGATTTGTCTATTTCTCCTTGCTTATTTACTTTGAAACTTTGTTATTAGGTGCATTCAAGTTTAAGATTGTTATATTCTCTTGATAAAAATGACCACTTTTTCATTATAAAATGACTCTATCTCTTGTAATGTTTTTTGCTTTGAAATATACTTTATCTGACAGCAATATTGTCATCCCAGCTTTCTTTTAATTAGTGTTAGCATATTATATCTTTTTTCATGCTTTTATTTTTAAACTATTTGTATCATTATATTAAATGTAGATTTCTGTAGGCAGTATATAATTTGACCACTTCTGGTTTATAATGGAGGTACTTAGACATTTCATGTGATAATTGATAATTGATATGGTTAGGTTTAAAGCTACTATTTTGCTATTTGTTTTCTATCTGTTCTTTGTTACAGATTTCTTTTTCTGTGGCCCTTTGTATTAATTGAACGATTTTATTACTCCACTTCATCTCCTTCTAGCTCCTTAGCTAGATCTCTTTGTTTTGTTATTTTAGTGGTTACTCTAGCATTTACAGTATACAGTATACATCTCTAACTTATCACAGTCTACATTCTAGTAATGCTTATACCACTTCATCATTTATGATATTATATGTCCATGTTATTTCTCCCAGCCTTTGTGCTATGTTTACCATACATTTCACTTCAACATCTTTAAGTATGTTTTGTAGTATAGATCCAGTGGTGATGAATATTTTCACCTTTTTTATGTCTTCAAAGTCCTTCTTCATTTTTGTTTTTGAATTATATTTTCACCACAGAATGATAGATTGGCAGTTGGTTTTTTTTTCATTTTAGAATTTTAAAGATGTTTTTCTTCTTTTACTTAGATTGTTTCCAGTAGAAATTTTGCTGTCACTATTATTTTCATTCTTTTGTGTATATAGTACCTTTTTATCTGTTTTTAAGTGATTTTCTCTTTTTCACTAATTTTGAGCCATTTCTTATGTGCCTTTGTGTTTCTTGTACTTAGGATTTGCTGAGTTTCTTGGATATTTGGGTTTATGGTTTTCATCATATCTGGGAAATCTTCAGCCATTGTTTCTTTAGTTTTCTCTTTTTCCTTTCTTTCTCTTCTGTTTTAGAGACTCCAATTATATCTACATTACATTCTTTCAAATTATCCAATATATCAATGATGTTCTGTTCATTGAATTTTTAGTCTTTTGTTATCTCTGAATTTCACTTGGGTACTTTCTATTGTTATGCTGTTCAACTCACTAATCTTTTCTTCTGCAATGTCTAATCTGCCATTAATCCCATACAATGTATTCTTCATCTGAGGCAGTTTAGTTTTCTTTTTTAGAAGTTAAATATGAGTCACTGTTAATATTTTGTACAACTTAACATGTTGAATCTCTACTCTAGCTTTTTTTTAATAAATGGAAGGCACTTGTAGTAACTGTTTCAATGTCCTCGTTCCCTGATTCTGACATCTTGTGAGTTCTGATTTGCTTATGAGTTTTGATTGATTAATTTTTCTCAATATTGTTCATATTTCCCAATTTTTTATATGCCTGATAATTTCTTATTTGATGTCACACATTGTCAATTTTACCATATTAGGTAGTGGATTTTAAAAAATTCATATATATATAAAATTGAGATTTGTTCTGGGAGATAAATTATTTCAAAATAATTAATAGTTTAATTATTTTGAAATAGTTCAATTCTTTCAGGGCTTGCTTTTAAGATTTGTTAGGGAGTACTGGAGTGGCATTTAGTCTAGTGATAATTTCCCCTGCCTAAGACCCTTCTAAGTATTCTATTCCATGACTCATTTTCCAGTCTGGCCAGGCACAGACACTATTCCCAGCTTTGTGTGAGCTCTGACTCTGACTACCCTCTCTTCCTTTCAGGTGTTTTTCTCTGGTCTCAGGTAGTTTTCTTTACCATATGTGCTGCTCAGAATGAGTACCTCTCTAGAAGTACTGAGGCTCAGTGCTCAGGACTCAAGAAGGACCCTATGTACATCTTCAGAGTTATCACTCCATGCAGCTCTCTCCTCTCTGATGCTGTACCCTGAAAACTCTAACTACTGTGAACTCTCTGGAGGCTCCACCTCCTCAACTCAGGGTGAGCAGCAGACTCCTTTTGGGTTCACCCTTGCTGCACTGCAGCCTAGAAATTCTCTCAAGGTGGTAAACTGGGGCATTTGTAAGGCTCACGTCATTTCCCATCCCCATCTCTTAAAAATAACCGCCCTTCATTGCCTAATGTCCAATATCTTGAAATCTGTTTCTTCATATAATTTTGTCCAATTTCTTAGTCATTCCAAGTAGGAGGGGAAATATGGTTCCCTATTACTCCATTTTGGTAGGAAGTGCACCTTTTTTCTGCCTATTCCTTTCCTTATCAGTTTCTTTCAACTTAAATAACAGAGTCGATATCTATTGTTTGCGAGTAAGAGGTCTGGCAGATACACATCTACCTCTCCCTTTCTTTAGATACTCAATTTATCTCCCAGTCCTGTCAGTTTTATTTTTTAAATAGCTTCTTAATTGCTGTAAGTTTATATATGTGTGTATGTATATGTAGAATGTGGTATGTGTGATTATTGTGTTCCAGGTACTTTTCTAAGCATTTTACTTCTATTAATTTAATCCTCTCAATAACCCTATGATATAGAAATCATTATTATACCTCATTTGTACAGATGAGGAAACAGGCATGGAGAAGTAAAGTAAGTTTTCAAGTCATAGGGTAAGTGATTGAAAACCAGCAGTATGAAGCAGATCCTATGGAAACATTGCTGCCTTTTTACAAATACTTCTACTCCCTTACATCTCCACTTAGGTCTCCATACCGCCACCCTAGTTCAAGCTAGCATCATCTCTTGCCTGAGCTACCATGTAATTGGTGTTGTGACTTCCAAATCATTTTCTTCATTACAGTTAGAGTAATCTTTCAAAACCCAAATCTGCTTGTGGGGGATCCATCAGAGGGGTGGGAAAAACTATAGGGAAAGGACGCAAACCTTCTGAAAGGTCAGAAGGTTCTGCAGAGCCCCAGGGGGAGAATAGCCGAAGGCAGCTGTTCTATAACCCTGAGGCAGAGGGCAAGGGGTAGGTACAAGGGAATGTGGGGGAATTTATCTTCAACAGACTTGTTTACTTATATTGACCAGGACCTGACCTTTGATCATCCATGTGCATGACGTTCCCTGAAAGGGGAACAATAAATGTTAATTACCTACAGGTTGTGTGGGCTCCAGGTTTTCTGAATAAAAGCAAGCTGCTCCAGCTTCTCTCTGGCGTCTAGAGCCAGGCAGTCACCTAGCACCTAGTCACCTAGCTGCTCTTACACTGCATACCTGTGTCTGAGTACCCATTTCATCTGTCGGCCAGGGTCTGCAGGACAGACCCAGCATCTGATTAAATGTTTTCAGTGTTTAATACCTATTGGTGGCTTCCCCCATCCTATTAGGACGAGACAAAAACTCCCTAACACGCCTACGGTGCTCTCCTGGTCTCACCCTTCCACACCCCACAGCTTCAGTTTCTATTCTGCTTGCTTCTTTTTTTTTTTTTTTTTTTTTGCCATCCAGCTACAATGGTTTTTTTCAGAACCCTTGCACCCTTCTACCACATGGCTCTTGTTCACACTATTCCTCCCCCACCCCCACCCCATGTAGAACATTATTCCTTACCTGTTTTGCCAAAAAAAAATTATCTGTTTTGACTCACCATAAGATGTTCAGCACCTGACATCAAGTGTAGCACATAGAAGACATTCCGTAATTTGTTACAATGAATGAATGAATGAGAGGATAAGCTCCTTGACTAAAGTGACACAGTAATAAGTTGGGACATTAGAATTATACTCTGATTCTAGACCCAGTTAGTTTTCATGTGGCGTTTGAATTAGAAGCTTGAAAGAAAGTTTTGACTGCTGTCAACTTCTTCTCATATCCATTTTGGGGATGTTGGTGATGGTACCCCAGCCTGCACATCTCTTGGAAAGTCAGCCCCTCTCTGATGCCCACGACTGGTTACTGGTGCATTTGGCCTAAGGCGCTGTTAGACTGTTAAGTTATTTATGGGTGACTCTAGTCTGTAGGAATTCTGGTTGATCCAGTAATTGGTCTAAGCATCAGGTTTGGATGACTTAGCTGTGTTCCTAGTGAGTTAACAATAACTGATGATAGAGATTTAGAACAGACACCCCCAGGTGCTCAGTTGTTTTAAATAGCACATTAAACAATGTAATACTTAACCCTGGAGGTGAACAATAAGTGTTGTATTAGTTGCAGTAAGTACTATGCTATAGCTCTAAATGTGGAGCTAGAAACCCATTCTTTATTTCTAAATGAATGTGCTTTTCACAAAGAACACAGGCTCATGATGGATGGGGAGCAGACGAACTTCAGCTCCCAGACTCCAAAGACCCAGTGCTTACAAGGGAGAAGCACGTATAATCTGAATGTATGCTTAAGGAAACACCAGACAAACCCGAATTGAGAGGCAGTTCTCAAAAGTTTCAAGGTCATCAAAGAGAAAAGTGCCTCCCGGGTTGGAGTCATGACAACTAAATGCAATTTGGGAATGCTGGTTTGGATTCTAGATCACAGGAAAAACATTAGTGTGACAACTGGCAAGATTTGAATAAGGTCTGTCAATTGCACTACAATTACAGTTGTGGAAGAGCTGGGAGGTGAGTACATGAAAGCTCTGTGGACTATTTTTACAACTTGGCTGTAAGTCTATAGTAAATGTTAAAAACACCACTAAAATAAATAAATAAGTAAACAAAAACCTAAATAAATAAATAAAAAGAAGATTAACAATTTTTATGCAAAGAGCATAGAAAAGGCTTAAAATTTCAAGGCATGAAGAAGAGGGTGAGTAGAGGAAAGAATGATCCGTTAGCCTATGGACCCTCAGAAAAATTGAGTTCTTCATTATTTTATAGAAGAACAGAAGCAACATCCTGGTCCCAGCAGATGCAACAGCATCAAGCACAGAACAGGCACCTGCCTTGCTGAGGAAACTAATTCTGATGGGGCCAGTTGGGTGATGGCCTAAGTCTTAGCAAAAATTCTGGATGTCAGGGCTGGTCTATCCAGGTAAAAATGAGCTATTAATCCTTTTTAAATACACACCTATTTTTATTAGAGACTGAGTTTCATCATGTTGGTCAGGATGATCTTGAACTCCTGACCTAGTGATTCACTCTCCTCGGCCTCCCAAAGTGCTGAGATTACAGGCATGAGCCACCATGCCCTGCCTACTACAAATACACATCAACAAAAAAAAAAATTAGCTGGGCATAGAGGCAGGTGCCTGTAATCCCAACTACTTGGGAGGCTGAGGCAGGAGAATCGCTTGAACCCAGGAGGTGGAGTTGCAGTGAGCCGAGATTGCACCACTGCCCTCCAGACCAGGTGACAGAGTGAAACTCTGCCTCAAAAGAAAAAAAAAAAATACACACCTAAAACCCAGTTACATGCTTTTAGTTCAATATAGCATGGGTGCCTCATCTGCTGAACTGTAATCATGTTGCTTGACCAGTTTTACCTCTAAGACCTGTAAGCTTCAAACAGAAAGGCTGGTGACTAGAGAAGTAAAATATTTTTTCAAAATAGTATCGACAAAAAAGCAGATTGTTCCTTTCCAAAACAATTATGGTCCAATTATTTCACATGAAGAAATCTGGGCTCAAAGAAGCTACTGAACTGCAGAAGACACTAGCGGATACAAGGGTTTGCAGTGACTTAAGCCCAAGACCAATGTATCATTGGGAGGAGTGATCTCTTCCATCCTCTCCAGGCCCCAGGTTTCCGACTTGTAAAAGTAGTAGTCGAGCTAGGTAATTTCTAACGTGTCCTCTAACTTTACTAAGCTATAATTTAATGAAAGAATATTTATTCAAATGAAGAATACAGACTAAAGGCAATTGCCACAATTACCATTACAACCAACATCTTGGTACTGCTGAATGAGACGCACTTCTCTCTCTAGTTGGGAAAAATAACCAGCTATGTCTCTATCTCTGTGCTCTGGACCCTGTGGCCTCTTGGCTTCTTGGGCACTAGATCACATCATTTCACTTCTGTATTTTCAATTCTCTTCCATTGGCATTTATGCATCTTTGAGTCACTCCTAGCTTGAAACAAACAAACACACACAAAACAAATGAAAATCTTCCTTTATAGCTCTCTCTATCCCTTCACAGCCTAACTTTGGGAAAAAACTTAATATATTTTCTATATTCATTTTTTCCTTTTCCACTGGCTCCTTAATCTACGTCACCATTCACTGAGGCCACCAATAACATCTATGCCATAAAACACAGCAGCCATTTTCAGTTCTGATCTGACTGGACTTCTCAGACCATTGAATACTGTGAGTCACATTCTCCTTGAAATACTCTCTTTCCTCAGCTTCCCTGATACTACCCACTTCTGGATTTTCTTCTTGTTGTTGCAAAAGTAATTGTGGTTTTTGCTCCACAATAACTTTTGCACCAACCTAATATTTCTCTGACACCTCCTCTTTGTTATTCTTGGTCTACTTGTCCTTCTCCTCCTAGCTATGAAATCTTGTAAATTTATTAAGACTAGATCGTAGGTCCTCAATCCTTCTGCTCATGACTTTTTATTATTAAATATTATTATTTCTGTGTCTGGACTTCCCATTATTTAACTTTGAGTTCCAAACTGTCAACTCAACAGATCTATGTGGCTATCTCAAAAACACCCCAAATTTGACGTGTCTAAAACTAGTTCACCCTTCACACCATCTCCCTACACCTGTCCTGTTCTTTTTCCCATACTCTGTCTCATAGTGGTATCACCACACTTGCCTTTGCCATCCAGAAATCTGGGCATTATTGATGACAAGTTCCTCTCCTTCCTTCCGCATTCGACCATCACCAAGGAGATACTTTCCATCTTGTTACCTAAAAATTTCTCACGTCCACTCACTTTCTTTATTTCTGCCACTCCTCCTCTGGTCAGAGTGAATGTGCACTGTCATGAATGGCTGCAGGAAATCTCCTAATTGGTTTCTTGTCACCTCCCTGGCACCAGCATCTTTCCACCATTTCATCCTTTCAGTCTCTTCTCTGTACCGCATCCAAAATGGCCTTTTATAAAAACTTTTTATTTTGAAATAATCATAAATTTGCGGGAAGTTACAAAGATAGTACAGAGAGGATTCATGTATTCTGCATCCAGTTTTCCCAATACAATAAGATACATCTTATGTAATTATAATACAATATGAAAACTGTGTATTTGACATTGGTACCGTGTGTTTATAGTTCTACACGATTTTGTCATGTGTAGTTTTATGTTACCACCACTATAGCAATTACTATACAGAACTATTCCATCAGCACAGAGATCTCCCTTGTGCTACCTCTCTATGTCATACTTACCTCTCCCTTCTGTCCTCCACCACCTCTAACCTCTTCCACCATTCATCTGTTTTCCACCTCTATAATTTTCACTTTTCAAGAATGTTATATACATAAAAAGTCATAGACCATGTGACTTTTTCAGGTTGGCTTTTTTTTTTCAACGTAACTTAATGTCCTTGAGATTCATCTGGCTTTTTCCCTCAATATAATGTTTTTGAGATACATCTACATTGTCACATATATGGGTGGTTTGTACTTTTTTATTACTGATGAGTATCCCATGGTATGGATGTACCATAGTTCTATGTTGAATAGCAGTTGTGACAGAGGTTATCCTTGCCTTCTTCCCAATTTTATGCAGAAAGCATTCAGCCTTCCACCATTAAGTCTGATGTTAAGTTTCTCTGCTAAATTGAGGATGTTCCCCTCTATTCCTACTTTTCTGGTAGTTTTTATCATAAATGAGTGTCAGATATTGTCAAATGCTTTTCCCACATGGATTGATATGATCACGTAATTTTCTTCTTTAACCTGTTAATATGGCAGATTACATTGACTGATTTCCAAATATTGAGTCAGGAAGTCACAGTAAGAGAAATTAGGCAAGAGAAAGAAATAGAAGGCATCCAAATAGGAAAATAAGTCAAACTATCTCTGCTGAAGGTATCATTCTATACCTAGAAAACCCTAGAGTCCACCAGAAGGTTCCTGAAACTGATAACTGACTCTAGTAAAGTTTCGGGATATAAAAAATCAATGTATGAAAATCAGTGGCATTTCTATACACCAATAGCATTCAAGCTGAGAGCCAAATCAAGAATGCAATTCCATTTACAATAGACCCGCCCCCCGCCCGCCTCCCCTACACACACACACAATACCTAGGAATACATCTGGCTAATAAATTGAAAGATCTTTACAAGCAGAATTACAACACACTGCTAATGACACACAAACAAATAAAAAGCATTCTGAGATAGCCAAGTGTAAAGGAGTCCCCGGAGAACCTCTGACAGGCCTGAGCACTGAAAGAATGGGATGGAGCTGTAGGAAGTTCACACCTTTTGCAGTGGGGAGGAGCCTGGCCTCTCCTGTTCTGGGATGGTAACCTGGGATTCAATCTGTGAGGCAGGAAGCCAGCTAACAGGACTCTCGCTTTGTGGAGAGTCCCTGTTTCCCAATTTTTTTTTCCTTTTCACCCAATAAACCCTGCCCATCTCATCCTTCAACATGTCTGTGAGCCTAATATTTCCTTGTCATGTGACAAGATTTTTCCTACACAACAATTCCATGCATGCTCATGGATTGGAAGAATAAATAGTGTTAAAATGGCCATACTGCCTGAAGCAATCTACAGATTCAACACTATTCCTATCAAGCTACCAATGTAATTGTTCACAGAACTAGAAAAAACTATTCTAAAATTCATGTGGAACCAAAAAAAGAGCCTGAATAGCCAAGGCTCTCCTAACCAAAAAGAACAAAGTCAGAGGGTTTCTTCTTTTCTTCAAACTATAGTATAAGGCTACAGTAACTAAAACAGCATGGTACTGGTACGAAAATAGACACATAGACCAGTGGAACAGAATAGAGAACCCAAAAATATAGCTGCACATCTACAGCCATTTGATCTTCAAGAAAGCCAACAAAACTAAGCAATGGGGAAAGGACTCCCTATTCAATAAATGGTGCTGTGGTAGTTGTCTAGCCATATGTGGAAAAATGAAACTGGACCCCATTTGCCATATACAAAACTTAACTCAAGATGAATTATCGATTTAAATGTAAGACCTCAAACTATAAGAATCCTAGAAGAAAACCTAGGAAACATCATTCTGGACATTGGCCTTGAGAAAGAATTTGTGACTAAGTTCTCAAAAGCAATTGCAACAAAAACAAAAATTGATAAATGGGACTTAATCGAACTAAAAAGCTTCTGCACAGCAAAAGAAACTATCAATAGACTAAATAAACAACCTACAGGATAGGAGAAAATATTCACAAACAATGCCTCTGACAAAGGTTTAATATCCAGAATCTATAAGGAACTTAATTCAGCAAGCAAAAAACAAAATAACCCCATTAAGAAGTGGGCAAAAGACATGTACAGACACTTCTCAAAAGAAGATGTACAAGTAGCCAACAAATATGAAAAAATGCTCATCATTACTAATCATCAGGGAAATGCAAATAAAATCACAATGAGATAACATCTCACACCAGTCAGGATGGCTATTATTAAAAAGTCAAAAAGCAACAGGTGTTGACAAGGCTGCAGAGAAGAAAGAATGTTTATACAATGCTGGTAGGAATGTAAATTAGTTCAGCCACTGTAGAAAGCAGTTAGGCTATTTCTCAAAAAACTTAGAACTACCATTCAATCCAGCAATCCCATTAATGAGTATATATCCAGAATAATATAAATCATTCTACCAAAAGATATATGCACTCACGTGCTCATCACAGCACTATGCACAATAGCAAAGACATGGAATCAAACTAGGTGCCTATCAATGATGGATTGGATAAAGAAAATATGGAACATATACACCTGGAATCCTATGCAGCCATAAAAAAGAATGAAATCAGGCCAGGCGTGGTGGCTCATGCCTGTAATCCCAGCACTTTGGGAAGCTGAGAAGGGTAGATAATCTAAGATCAGGAGTTCGAGACCAGCCTGACCAACATGGCAAAACCCCATCTCTACTAAAAATACAAAATTAGCTGGGGTGGTGGCACATGCCTGTAATCCCAGCTACGTGGGATGCCGAGGCAGGAGAATTACTTGAACCTGGGGGGTGGAGGTTGCAGTGAGCTGAGATAGTGCCATTGCACTCCAGCCTGGGCTACAAGAGCAAAACTCCATCTCAGAAAAAAATAAAAATAAAAAAGAATAAAATCATGTTCTTTGTCACAACATGGATGAAGCAGGAGGGCATTATCCTAAGAAAATTCATACAAGTACGGAAAACCAAATGCTGCATGTTCTCACTTATAAGTGGCAGCTAAACGTTGGGTACTCATGGACATAAAGATGGCAACAAGAGACACTGGGGACTACTAGTGGGGAGGAGGGAAGTAGGGGGATAAAGATTGAGAAACTAACCAGTGGGTACCATGCTCAGTACCTGGGCAACAGGATCAATCATACCCTAAACCTCAGCATCACTCAATGTACCCCTGAATCGAAAATATAAGTTGAAATTATTTTTTAAAAAAAACTAAGATTGAGGCCGGGCGTGATGGCTCATGCCTGTAATCCCAGCACTTTTGAGGAGTTGGAGGCCTGGCCAACATGGTGAAACCCCATCTGTACTAAAAATACAAAAATTTCCTGGGAATGGTGGCATGTGCCTGTAATCCCAGCTACTTGAGAGGCTGAGGCAAGAGAATCCCTTGAACCAGGGAGGCGGATGTTGCAGTGAGCCGAGATCTGCCACTGCGCTCCAGTCTAGGCGAGAGAGCAAGGGCCTGTCTCAAAAAAAAGAAAAGAAAAGAAAAAAAAAGCTAAGATTGAGTCAGGCTTGCATCCTTGGAATAAATCTCCGTTGCTCATAGGATATAATTCTTTTTATACATTGCTAAATTCAACTTAACATTTTATGAAGAATTTTTGCAGCTGTATTCATAAAGGATATTAATCTGTAGTTTATTGTATTGTCTTTGTTTTGGTACAAGGTAATAACTGGCCTCACAGAATGAGTTGGGAAAGTGTTCCCTCCCTCCACTCTTTGAAAGATACTGTGTAAAATTGGTATTAATTTTCACTTAAATATTTGGTCTAATTTTTCAGTGAAAAACTGAGTCTAGAGATTTCTTCTTTCTAAGTTTTTACAATATAAATTCAATTTTTAAATAGTTACAGGGTTTTCAAGTTACCTATTTCATATTGGGTGGATTGTGCTATTTTGTACTTTTTGAGGAATTGATCTGTTTCATTTAAGTTGTCAAATATATATGTGTGTGGAGTTGTCAGAATTGCCTTTTTAAAAAAATTACAAAGTATAATACTCATAAGGAAAATGCAAAAATGTGCAGCTCAATGTAAATAATCCCTAAAAAGCAACCACCCACCTAAGCACCATCTAGGTGTAAGGAACATGGCCAGCACCCCCTGACACCTCCCTGGGGCTTCCTCCTGAATACCACTGACTTCTCCTCTTCCTTAGAAGCAGTCACTATATTGATTGTTAGAGAAATTACTTAATTACTTTTCTTTTTAATCTTTACAACCTAACTACATATCCCTAAATACAATAGCTTAGTTTTCCCTGTGTTTTGAACTTTATATAAATGAAATCATAAAGTATAATGTGGCTTCTTTTACTTAAAACTATTTTGGTGAGAAATATTCAGATTAGTCACTCATTTTCATGGCAGGGGTATATTCCATTCTAGGAATGTATGCTTTAAGGCTATTGGATTAAAGCCTTACATCTTTGGGCATCTATTTCTCTGCACAGTGTCAAGGCAGTAAGATGTTCTGGTGCCTTACTCTTCTCCTGTATATATTTACCAGATTAGCAAACTCTCAGCACTCGGTCCTGAGAGCCTGGGTAGTACATTCAGTGTACTCCACAATCTCCTGACTGCACATTTCAGCAACAGCAAGAAAAGCTGGAACTATTGGAAGAAAGAGGGTCAATGTAGGCCACTGACAATGGCATGCCTGCTGGAATGAGGTAGCCTCGGACTTGAGCAACATGAAAAATGCCCAGGCAGCCAAGAGAGGGTCCCCAAGGCCAGGGGAAGGAAAAACACCCAAGCATATCGTTGCTGACTCTCATTTCCCCTAAAGCATGGAACAGTGTTGTTTTGTGGAAAGTACATGACTTTCAGAGCCAGACAGATATGGGTTTGAGTGATGTTCAGTTGCTGGGTAGACTTGGGCAAGAGACTTAACCTCTCTGAACTTCCACTTCCTCACCATGCAATGAAAATAATAATGTCTTCCCTTTGGTATTGTTAGAGGAATTAAAAGGCCATGATACATGGGAAACCCAAAAGAAATCTTTCATTCCATCCTCCCTTCCTTTCTTTCTTACATTCTTTCTTCCTATATCCCTTGATATATAAAATGGTAGAGGTAGGAAAACCCTAAAATTACTTAATTCCACACTCTTCTCATACAGGTAAGAGACATGAAGGACTTGCTTGAGATCCCACCACTGGCCAGTGGCAATGCTGACATCTTCCTAGTGTGATCTTTCCACCATGCCATGGGGAGCACCTAGCTGGAGAATTAGAAATTCTAAGTCTCAATTCCAAACATTTGTATGTGCATCCGCTTAAAATTCTGAATTCAAAGGGACATCAAAAAGGACAGCTTTCTTATCTCACATTTTTCACTTAAGAACACCCAATTATACTGAGCCTCTTCTACTTTAAAAGCTGCTCTGATTCATAATTTGTACAAGGTTTGGCGAACTTTTACAACTCAAGACCATATCTGATGCCTCCCTACAAGCACTTCTGAGTAAATTTTACTTTTTGGAAGAGGTAGTACCAGTTGTCCCAAATCTAGAGCCCTCAAACCCCTCAAGGTCCACGATTGTTCAAAGATGACCAGTTATAATTTGGGATTTGCCTTCCACTTGGACATTCTTCAGAGTTTGAGAGAAAATTCCCCTACTTTGTGAGCTCAGCTACACGCACGCACTCCAGGGAAAAGAGTAAAATATGCATCTCAGAACTACCCTACCTAAGGCCCAGCGCAGTGGCTCATGCCTGTAATCCCAGTACTTTGGGAGGCTGAGGCAGGTGGATCACTTTAAGTCAGGAGTTCGATAGCAGCCTGGCCAACATGGTGAAACCCTGTCTTTACTAAAAATTAGCCAGGCGTGGTGGTTTGTACCTGCAATCCCAGTTACTTGGAGGCTGAGGCAGGAGAATCATTTGAACCCAGGAGACAGAGGTAGCAGTGAGCCAAGATCACGCCACTGCACTCCAGCCTGGGCAACAGAACGAGACACCATCTCAGGAAGAAAAAAAGAAAGAAAGAAAAGAACCACCCCATCCAAAGGACAAGGCAGCTGGGGTGTTTCTGCACCAATTCCCACCAGTCATCAGCTGAGCACTGTTCCCAAAAGGGGCTGTTCCCTGCCCTTCTTGTCTGCCTCACATGGTCAGAGTAACCTCTGGAAGCCAGAGAGTCTTCAGGTAGAGATGTGAACGCAGGCAGTTGGGAGTCTGGGTGCGTGCACCAAAATGAAAACGGTCCAAGAGATGTGGTCCTGTGGGGCACTGGCATTGAAAGACACATGAAAAGCACAAGGCACGGACTTTCTTTAACCAGAGATTTCTCTGACAATGCCAAAAGAATGGGCTGAGGTAGCTGGAAAGCAAAGGCAAAGTTTGTTCTGTGTTTGCCAAATTACATTATCAGTTGTACTCAAATCTTCATTATGTTTCTTTTGTATATGTAAGGACATTGATTAGAAAAGAGACAAATGGAATGGGAATATAGAGCAGGATTTGGAGACCTTCAATTTCCCCAACCCACAACCCACCCTGAGCTCCCTCCTCCTCTGCGTTCCCTGGTTAGGCTCTTCATGTCTGGCCTGAAGACACTGTTAACTTCTCTCAGTGGCCATCAGTTACCTTGGCAGAGGGACAGACTCACTTAATGCTCTATCCCTACCCCCACCCCTCACCTTTACACACTCATCTTCCACATCCCCAGACTTGTAACTAAAGTCAGACCCCAGCACTTACTAGGGGAGAAGGGAATTCAACCACCAAAAGACTTACAGGACTTAATTATATTGGCAAAGATGTGGGAATATGTGAGGAAAGGCATCCTGAAGGCTATTGGTCAAGAGGAAGGAACATCACTTTGATCAGGGTAAACGTGGGTGCACTGTGCACTCACCCACGATTCTGGATCTAGTGGTGTTAGCTGGGGCAGCTGAGAGTGGTTCTGATAGTTTACTTGCTGGCCCAAGAAGTCCAGGGCTCCATTGGAAGTACAGTCTAGGGAAAGTTGAGAAGCTAGAAACTGTAAGGTTCAATATAACAAAAGAACTCATAGGTGTCAAGAGAGGAATGTGGCTGTAGCCTTATAGGCAATCCCGTCATCAAAGCCTGGGATAGACACTGGTAAGGCAAACACCGGCATCTTTGAAAAGAGTGTAGAGGCTCTTCTCTGTGAGTTGGGAATAGTGGTGGAAGATGCTACCATCCAAAAGGACTGCTTGATACCAAGCATGTGGGAAGGGCCCGGGTGGAAAAGGACAAATAGGTACACTAGAATAGTAAGATAGAAATGGGTATAGTCATCTTACAAGACATTAGGGCTTACCAGAATGAACTGAACTGCAGGGATCTTAGGGTGTGGCCAGTTGATCGCAGGATTTCCGGCCTAACTTGGCGTGTAACTGAAAAAACTCCAGGTCTGGTGAATGGGGGCTGCTATTACATCAGAAACTTGGGGTCGTGTCTAAGACCGAGTCAGTTCCCAGACCCACATCCCCTCACTAAAGGGAAAATAGGGATGCTTAAGGCAGCACTTTCTGCTAAAATTGCCAAGTATGTTCTGTGACTTTTCCTCTCAGCCTTCCCCAGTGGTACTTGTGTCCATTTAAACAGGTTACTGTACTGGGGGAAAAATGCCCAAACTTTTCTCAAATATTTGGACACTGGCTCCAAGCCAACCATACCACAGACCACCTATCAAAGCAGGCGACTAGTAGAGATCTGGTAATTGATAGAGTTTTGGAGTGTGTGTGTGTGTGTGTGTGTGTGTGTGTGTTGACCTTTCTTCTCCCATTTGGCAGAGGAAAAGTATACCAAACACAGAGGAAAGTGGAGAACTCATGGTGAGCTTTTACTCCTGTAACTGCATCCATTCCTGCTTCGCTTACTGAGTTCCCTCCACACTTGCATCTCAAACGCTGAACTCAAACTTGTCATTCTCCCTCTCCTCCCATGGCCTTTGAATTTGCAATTCCCTGGCCTAAATCTTCCTCACCTCTTCCCATCCCTTTGCCTAATTACTTCCTCCTCATCCTTCAAATCTCAGCTCCAGGGTCCCTCGTTAGGGAACACTGCCTATTCCCATCACTCCACGAATCTAGGTCAACTTCATTAGCTCCACAACATCCAGGGACAGCAATCTTTGCCTTTAAAGCACCTCCCGCAGCTTGTTGATGCACATTCATGCGAGTGGCTTGACGAGTATCTGCTTCTTCCTCTAGACTAGAAGCAGCCCAAAGCTGGAACGTAGTTTTGGTTACCACTCTTCCCCTGGCTTCTAAATACGATGCCTGGCACAGTGAACACTCAATAAATATTCATCAAATGAATGGATGAATGAATAAATAAATGAATGCACACCTCTTTTACTTCAAAAAAAAAAACACTTCTTAAGAATTGAAATTTAGCAATAAATTGGCCAATGTTTTTCCTATCTTTAGCGTGCCAGCACTTTCTTCTGGAGACCATGAGCAGGGGCAGAAAGACATCATCCCCAGCAGCACTCACATCTGAAAGCAGGCGGGTGTCCCTCTGCAACAACCCCTGCTCAGTTAGATTGCTTTAGGATACCCTCTTTTCTAAACAGAACAAAATTTTAACCAGACCATAAAAGCTGGTTTGGGATCTGAAAGAATAAGATTGTGCAGCAAATGATAAAAGGAAAAACCCAGCCATGCCTCCCTGTTCTGCCTTTTGTTTGGGCATCCTGTGTCCTGCTAGGCCTAGAAGGGGGTTGATGGAACCGTTTGTTGGCTGAGAGACTGGATTTTAATTGTCCTGCAAAGCTCCAATAAAGCTTTGTTTCAAGTCTTGAATTTCATCCATGTTTCCCTTTTAACAAACTTCAAGGAAATAACTCACCCTGAACTGCCACAGTGTACTGCCAAAGCGCTAGCAAATAAGAAAGGCACATGCTTCCTGAATTTGGGTGAATGAACCGACAACACTCACTTTAAAGGGTTTTCTTTTTCTTTTTTTTTCCTTTTAACTAGGAGAGAGAATGCGGACCAGGCTTTCCCTCAGCAATTTTTCTAATGAAAACATTTGGTGCCACCTGGTGGCCAAATTTACACGGACGCCTCAGCCTTCGCAGAGTACAAATGTCTCCCGGTTGAACTGGATATTAAAAACCCTGGTGCTACTCGGGAGGCTGAGGCAGAGTGGCATGAACCCGGGAGGCGGAGCTTGCAGTGAGCCAAGATCACGCCACTGCACTCCAGCCTGGGTGACAAAGCGAGACTCCGTCTCAAAAAAAAAAAAAAAAAAAAAAAAAAAAAAAAAAAAACCCTAGTGCAACCAATTTGGTAAATTTCTAAGAATATAGAGAATTTAAATTTCTCCTTATTGAAGACAAAATTCCCCACCTGCGTTCCACCACGCCTCTTGGGGACAATTTGTTTTCCTGAACAGGTGGCTTTCTTTAAGTGAACATTTTCTCTAAGGTAATATGCTTCATGCAGAGTTCACTTTTGAGCTAAAAGAAGGGCAAGAAGTGCAAATAATTATTGTGGCATGAGAGAAGGAGAAGGAATTGCCCAGAAATCCTTTAGGCCCCTTCAGTGTCTACTGGCCTAGGATTCCAAAAAGGTTTGAGAATGTTTCTCATACTCATATTTGGCCCAAGCACACGGGTCCAGTGGGTCAACTTTCACTTTGAGAAAAGCTTCAAATTCCACATTCTTGGATAAAACATAAATAGAGCCCAGTTAGTCCCTCTCAGGCTTTTATGAACTAGAATCATATTTCTTAACCTATCATTCCTGAGTGTGAGAAAAACAAGAGGAATGATATGTAATGTCTTAACAAGCTGTGCTGGGATACCAATTTTAACTGGCCAATAGAACCAACGCAGATTATGTTTTAGAGAAATCTAATCCCTTATAAATCAGCTGTGTGTAAAAACCCTCACATAAACAAGTGATGTGTTGTGAGTAGCAAGGAGAAAAAAAAAATTCTCCTGGAAATGTGTAGGTCTATTAGCGGAGACAAGCGCTGCTCGCCTCGTGCTCCATACTCCGAAGGGCAATTCATGTTAAAGGCAGTAGTGGGCTGGCCCCCTTTATGCTGAACATAGGAAATACAGAAAAACATCTACGAGACTGAGCAAAGTGGTAGTATTTCGTGCACTGGCTGGCTCAGCACCAAAATTCAAATCAATACTCCAGAGAGAAGAGCCCCCAGAAACAGCCCAGCAAGAGCTTGGAGGGTTCAATGATCATTTAATTTAAGCCCCTCTTTTTACAGACAAATGAACACAGGCCCCCAAGAGTTTAGGTGATGTTCCCGTGGGCCCTTATCAAGTTAGAGCAGAGCCCAGGGAGAGAGAGAGTTGAGGTCCTCCGCTCTCTGCTTCTGCCTCCACACTCTGCTTGCTCTGACCAACGTCCTCCCACCGGCGATGCAGAACTTCAAAGGGATGGAAAAGGTGGCAAAGTCACCAGTGAATCTGTGTGATATACATAACTGATGACTTCCTCCTTTAAAAATTTTTTTGAGAGAGGGTCTTGTTCTGTTACCCAGGTTGGAGTGCAGTGACACAATCGTAACTTGAAATCCTGGGCTCAAGTGAGCCTTTTGCCTCAGCCTCCCGAGTAGCTGGGACTACAAGGAGCACACCTCCATGCCTGGCTAATTTGTTAAAATGTTTCTTTAGAGACGGTAGTCTCACTATTTTCCCCAGGATGGTCTTGAACCCCTGACCTCAGGTGATCCTCCCGCCTTGGCCTCTCAAAGTGGTGACTTCAGGTGTGAGCCACTGTGCCCAGCAGCTTCCTCCTTTACAGAAATAAATTAATGCAAAATAAAGGAGGAAGAGAGA
The DNA here is from genome assembly GCF_000001405.40 of Homo sapiens. Taxonomy (NCBI): domain Eukaryota; kingdom Metazoa; phylum Chordata; class Mammalia; order Primates; family Hominidae; genus Homo; species Homo sapiens. Next base: position 11,653,992 of record NC_000006.12, on the reverse strand, counting down.
AATGATAGCTAAGCAGAGAACATGCAACAAAGTCAATGCTAACATCCACGTGATTGAGCATCTACTGTATGGCAGGTGCTTCACATGCGTTATCTTGAATGGGTGAACATTCTCCAATACAGCAGGGTTCCATCCATTCCACAGGTGAGGCACCTCATGCTCAGGTGGGTAAATTGCCCACCACCGTGTGGTAATAAAAGGGCAGAACACACACATGAAATCAGGACACCCTGACTCCAAATCCTATCACTGTTTCATGTCTCCAGCTGCAGACAACTCTTATGTGAGCCCTGGATAGGAAAAGGAACAGAGTCATGGAAGGTCCACTTAAGTTCTCCTTCAAGCAGCTAAGGAGGTGCTGTCTCTAACAAGCCAAATTAAGATAGGCAAAGTCACCCCAGCAGCTGTTGACTTCAGCATTTGCTTTTAAAATGAGAATTATTGTCTCAGGGTGAAGACTCCGGTTCAAGCATGAGTCATGCACCCCAGCAGACCTGGTTTGTTTTTAGCGAAGTGTGGCCGGGGGAGGAGGGGTTGTATTCACCAGCAAAGCATGTCACAGAGGATGTACACACACACACACACACACACACACACACACACAGACACACAGACACACACACACACACGTCTGCCCATTACAGCTGCTCCAGGCATCTCTCGCCTGACAGAATAGGGTCTGTTTCTGACCCCCACACATCCTTAAAGAATGTGATCTTTGCAGAGATCACTAGCAGGAAATGACCCTGAGGAAAGCCACTTGATGTCATTCTTTGAATGTTCTGCTGTCAGCTCCCAAAACTGTCAGGAATGAGGTCGTAAGTGTCTCCTTCAGCTGCATAAATAGAGGCCACCAAAGGTCTCCAGGAAAGAAAAAAGCTGGTAATCACAGCAATTCACGTGTGGACCAAATATGGCAGCACCGGTGGAAGACAGAGTCATGTTATGACTCACACAAACCCAAGCTGGAATCCCATAGCTGCTGTTTTCCAGGGGTATGACATTGAACTGCATAAATGCCTCAGTTTCCCCATCTGCTTGATGGGCATCAGAGCATCACTATGAGGGCTGAGCCGAGTACTTATAGAAGCAGTGGGTGATATAGGTAGCCAGTGCCTGATCAATGCTGCTTCTCATCCATCCTCCTCCTGCATGATGTGGTTAGAAATCTCCAATGGCTGGGCGCGGTGGCTCATGCCTATAATCCCAGCACTTTGGGAGGCCGAGGCCGGCGGATCACCTGAGGTCGGGAGTTTGAGACCAGCCTGACCAGCATGGAGAAACCCCATCTCTACTAAAAATACAAAATTAGCCAGGCATGGTGGCACATGCCTGTAATTCCAGCTACTGGGGAGGCTGAGGCAGGAGAATCGCTTGAACCTGGGAGGTGGAGGTTGTGGTGAGCTGAGATTGCGCCATTGCACTCCAGCCTGGGCAACTTCCAGAGTGAAACTGTCTCAAAAACAAACAAAAAAAAGAAATCTCTGGTGCGGCTGGGCATGGTGGCTCACACCTGTAATCCCAGCACTTTGGGAGGCCAAGGCGGGTGGATCACCTGAGGTCAGGAGTTCGAGACCAGCCTGGCCAATGTGGTGAAACCCTGTCTCTACTAAAAATACAAAAAATTACCTAGTTGTGGTGGCACACACCTGTAATCCCAGCACTTTGGGAGGCCGAGTCGGGCAGCTCACTTGAGGTCAGGAGTTGGAGACCAGCCTAGCCAACATGGCAAAACCCCGTCTCTACTAAAAACACAAAAATTAGCCAGGCGTGGTTGCGCACACCTGTAATCCCAGCTACTCAGGAGGCTGAGGCAGGAGAATTGCTTGAACCCGGGAGGCAGATGCTGCAGTGAGCCGAAAACATACCACTGCACTCCAGCCTGAGCAACAGAGCGAGACTCTGTCCCCAACTCGCCCCAGAAAAGAAAAATCTCTGGTTCCATCAGAACCAAGAGTGGCCCAACAAAGGGCTGACCAGTCCAGCTTCCTGGTCATGGAGGTCACACTGATGCTAATGGATCAAGTTGGCAAGCTTGACATTTAATGTAAAACTGCTAGCATCAGATTATTTGGGGCCAACGTTCCCCCAGTGCTTAAGAATCACTGTTATAAATTCTTCTTCCTTGCAGCTCTCAGAACTGATCCCTCCTCTCTTTGGCACGTATCTCTGCCTCAGTTCCAGCTCTCAGCCCCCTCCCTGAATCCCACAGCACCTCCCAACTATGTCCCTGCCTTCAATCTGCCCCATCATCCCCAATCCCTACATTGCTGCCAGAGTGAGCTCTCTGACATGTCTGTCTGAGGTGATGGATATTATTGGGTGTCTCTCAGCATCATTCTGTCTTCTTCTTTAAACAGAGACTGGATTTCGTTCAGACACCTAAATCTCCCACCTTTGCCCTATGCTTCTAGGAAAGCTGTCTCTTCTCCCTTTTCCTTGGGCAGGCCTGATTGATCGAAGAGTTAGCCTATCCACTTACCAGTGACTGTTTTAATATTGGTCCATGTTTCAGTTCTGGACAATGTTCTGGAAGGAAAGGTTTGTGGCTGCTTCTGGGAATATTCTTCACTTCTTATCTGCAGGCCATGAAACGTGTAAAATTCTGCCATGACACTATCACACTGCCTTACTCATTTATGTGTTTGGATCCCTACAGAGACTGTAAGCTCATAGCGTAGGCCTTCTCTTACTCTACTCTTCATCCCACTCCTAATACTGGCACATAGTAGACCTTCAAATAACAGTTGCTGAATGAATGAATGAATGAAGGAATGATGTTTAAATTATCAAGGGTGGTGAATCTTCCCAAAGCACTTCCTAACAGACAAAGGGACAGAGATCCTACTCCACAATAAAAGAGCATCCACTTATTGATGATGTTTGCTATAAACTCACATCTGTTGCAGCTGCCTTTTCCAGAACACAATGCCAGGCCAGATGTCAACCTTCTTTCCTAAGTAGGAAGTGTTTCCTAAGTCACATACACAAGAAGACCTCTCTACAGGATGTTATGATTGCCCCTTAAAGGCAGCAACAAAGCAAGGTTTTAGGACACCAGAGTCAGATGCACTTTGAACACCCTGTCTTCTCAGCAGAGGCAACATCATGTACTGGCCTGAATCATCAAAATCAACAAGACAGGTAGTACAGAAGGGTATGAACTTGAAGCAGAAGGGACCCTGGCCTCACCGGCAGGGCATTACAATTTGAAGTGGACATAAAGCATAATCACCAAAGACATTAAATTAAAAATCCTGCCTGCCCCCATAAAGCCCAGAGGACAAATTAGTAGAGTTGTATACAGGCTGCAATGGAATCATTTGCAATTAAGAGCAGTAATTTAGCTTCTGTTCCTGTAATTATAACTGCTCCTGTGTGGACAGACAGATCCCTCATTGTGTCTGGAACAATCGCAGCATTCCAAACATAAAGCAAGCCAAAGTAGCATACCCCAGGGCCGCCTCTTTCAACAAGCTATCGCTCAACAGCCCCCCGGTGCAGCCGGCTTGAGGGCCCAGTTTCCTGCCATTGTTAGCCTGCTGAGCCTGGAATTCCATCCAAATGGGTTTGACCCCTTTGCTAAACAGCAGTGCATATTTCCCTGATTAGTATATTCCTGTGTTTAGATGGGAAGTGGCAAGGTTGGGGGAGGTGAAGGGAGAAAGACAAGGAAAATAATAAGGAAAAACAACTCCATTCTATTCATACAATGATGATAGCAACCTGGAACTCTGGCTTCATCTGCAAGTGTAATATCCGTGCTACTCATGCATAAATAAATATTCATCCATCAAAAATTCTGTGTTATGTGCATGCCATAGACTAACCAGGCTAGGAATGAGCATGCACACCTGACTTCATTAATAAGTAGTTATTGCTATGGGGGGTCTGTTTATTCTAAGAACATGCAGAAAATTATAAACTATAATCTCCTTGTGGTTGTCCTTAATTACGTGAGTTCTGTCCCTCAAGGATATTTCCTTCTGACAATGACACTGAAGAGGGGCCTTTTGGTATTCGGCAACTGGAGTGATTCCTGCATATATAGGACTGCCCTTCTCCACACCACATCTTCTCCCACCGTACCCTACTTCCTGCTGTTTCGTCTAATGCTACAGTTTCTATCCATTCATTTTGCCTTTTATATTAATCTGGAATTCCCTCTTACAGATCACTTCACCATGTATTCCTTAGCAAACATTTTTATCACCACGTTTATTAATGTCTATTTGTTAATGACCCAAAGGCAAAGAAAAAATAATTCACCGTTTAAAGTCCTACGAGGTTATCAAAATTAAAAACATATATGATTTAAAGACACCATCAAGAAAGTGAAAAAGCCCATAGAGTGGAAGAAAAGTTTCACAAATCATACATTTAATAAGGGACTTGTATCTAGAATATATAGGGAACTATGACAACTCAAGACAAATAACCCAGTTGAAAGCAGGCAAGAAGCTGAACAGACATTTTACCAAAGAAGACATACAAGTAGCCAGCAAGCACATGAAAAGATGTTGGGTGTCATTAGCCCCCAAGGATCAATCAAAACCACAATAGGATACCACTGTTACGTGCGGGTCTTTGTTCTTAGAGCTCCCAAGATATGGCGGGCCACTCTCAAGACGGGGGCAAGCCTCTTATTCTCTGACCTGGGGTTCTTGGCCTCACGGATTCCAAGGAATGGAAGCTTGGGCCATGCGGTGAGTGTTATAGCTCTACTAGAAGCCGTGAGTCACAGAAGAGAACCCTGGAACCCAGCAACTAGCGTTCAGCTCGATTAGGACGAACCCTGGGCCCTTAGCCATGCAGGAACAATAGCGAGCCTCCAGCCCGATTGGGAGCGGCAATGGGCGTCTCGCTGGATCAGAAGCACAGTGGACAACCTGACGGATCCAGAGGGGTGGAAGTCAGAGGCGGGTCTGTGACGGCGGCAAACGGCAGTAGTGGACCGCGAACGAAAGCTCAGCTCGAGCCATAACAAACATGGACCAGAAGAGTGTGCAGTTGCAAGATTTAATAGAGTGAAAACAGAGCTCCCATACAATAGGAAGGGACCCAAAGGGGGTTGCTGCTCCCTGCCCGAATGCCTGGGTTTATATCCCGATCATTGTCCCTCCCCCTGTGCTCTCAGGCGATATATGATTTGACTATTTCTTTATCCTCCTGCTTTAGCCTAATTTATATTTTAGTGAGCCCTCTTTACTACCTAATTGGTTGGGTGTGAGTTGAGTTACAGGCCCAGTGTTTAAATGTAGGTGCGGTCACCTTTCCCAGCTAGGCTGTGGAATTCTTAGTCGGCCTAAGAAATCTGGCTAGTCCTGTCTGTCACCACTTCACACCCACTAAAATAACTCTAACAGAGAAGACAGATAATAACAAGTGTTGGTGAGAATGTGGAGACATCAGAACTCTAATATGCTGCTGATGGGAATGCAGAATGCTGCAGCTGCTTTGGAAACCATTCTGCAGTCAACCAGTCTGGCAGTTCCTTGAATGATTAAACACAGAGTTACCATAGATGCCAGTAATTCACCTCCCAGGTATATACCCAAAAGACATGACAACACATGTTTACACAAAAACTTGTACACAAATGTGCATAGCAGCATTATTCATCATAGCAAAAAAGCACAAAGAACCCAAATGTCCATCAACTGATGAAAGGATAAATAAAATGTGGTATGTCCATACAATGGAATATTATTCAGCAACAAAAAGAAATGAAGTATAAATACATGCTACAACATGAATGAACCTTAAAAACATGCCAAGTGATGTAGTCCCAGCTACTCGGGAGGCTGAGGCAGGAGAATTGCTTGAATCTGGGAGGTGGAGCTTGCAGTGAGCTGAGATCACACCACTACACTCCAGCCTGGGCAACAGAGCGAGACTCCATCTCAAAAAGAAAAAAAACAAAACAAAAAAACCCACAAACATATCAAGTGAAGGAAGCCAGTCACAAAGGACCCCATATTATATGACTTCATACTATGAAACATCCAGAACTGGCAAACTGCGGAGACAGAAAGCAGATTAGTGGTTGCCTAAGACTTAGGAGGCATTCTGAACGGCTATTTCTCCCAAGAAGATGCAGAAATAGCCAAATAGGCGTATCAGGGACTGACAGCTAAGGGGTGTGAAATTTCTTTTTAGGATAATGAGAATGTTCTAAAAATTGCTTCTGCTGATGGGTGCACAACTGTGTGGATATGGTAAAGGCCATTGATCTGTAAGCGTCACAGGGGTGAATTATCCGTTATATGAATTTTATTTCATCAAAGCTTTTAAAAAACTATGAGGTTAATTAAATACTCATAATTAGCTGGCAAATTTAATTGAAAGAGCATGGGACTTCACCCAGACTCTTTGCAATCTCGTCCCAACCTTGACCCTGCTCTAAATGACTAAGTAACTGAGGCAAGTGCCTTCGGTCTCCAGCCTCTGCGCCCTCATCTGTAAAACGAGGAGGGTGGACAGATGCTCCCTGAGGACCTTTCCACTTTTAATTCTTTCAGAAAACAGTGACCTCCAAAACAATTGTACTGATAAAATGGCCTGACTGTTCTTTGAACTCTCTGAAAGTTATCATATTCTTTTCCTTGGTTTTTAAAATTCCACCTTGGACTCTACTGGGTAGTTAAAATAATAAGTTAATTGTGTTTGATTTCAATGAAAGCAAAGTGTTTTAGATTAGTGTGTTTTGTTTATGTGCTGATAATGACCTTTTCTGCATGCTGAGGTGGGCAGCAGTAGTGAAATCTGCCCACCTGAAGCCAGCCTCAGTGGGGTCGGCTAGGGCCTGGGAAGCCCCTTCCTACTCAGTCTAAGCTGAGTACATTTACTTCCTCTGAGTCCTCCTCTCTTCTCCCATGCGAATTCTTATTTCCTGGTGTCCCTCATGTGTGAGTACGAGCCCGTTAGGCCCCCAGGCCAGCACCTCATAGACTTACAGATTAATTCTGGTTTGCAAGTGAATCATAGCATGGCCTAACATTTTTTTAGGTGTGAGTTTTGTTGTCCTCACCATTTTTTACTTGATGGTGGTGGAGGAAGGGGTACTCTTTCTGCCAAGCTGCTATATAAAGTATTGGTCAGACGTCTGCTTGACTGGCTAGAATTCAGCCAAGGCTGGCTTCAGAGAGCAGTGAACAGAGCCGGTTGCCTCCTAAGCCCTCATGTTGACAGTGACATAGCTGCGCTGATGTAGAGGCTACTTTCCCTCTTCCCCATTTTCACCCAGCCTCCTGACTCTGTTTCAAAGATTCCCCTTTTCCCTATCAAAATAAATATCTAAGCTTATAAAATACAGCTTCAGCCTAAATCCTGTCTTCTGCTCAAAGCCTTCACATTTGCCTGCACTAATATCCTCTTCCACTGAATCCCATCATAATAATGCTTATAAACCATAAAATGCTGGAAATGGGTGGCTAGTTGTCTAATGTCTTTCAAATCGGCATCTTCTATCAGTTCTCGAGGTCAAAACTAAGTCAAATGCTTCTCTTCTGTCCTCCTCAGTGCCTAGCACAGTTAGATAGACATTAAATAAATGTATATTAATTGGCTTTACAAAAAATGGTCCTAGCGGAGCACCTGCAAAGATGTGGTTCATGCCGGCATCCTGAGACAAGCTAAAATGCTGACAATTCTCAAACAGATTTCTGAAAATGGTAAGAGAAAACTTTCATAAATATTGTGGTCATTCCCTGCTAATCAGCCAGCTAGAACTTTTCTTGGGATATATTTAAGTATTTCTTAAATAAACAAATAATGAAGCTATGACTTTCTTTTTTTTGACACGGAATTTTGCTCTTATTGCCCAGGCCGGAATGCAATGGCACAGTCTCGCCTCACTGAAACCTCCACCTCCCAGGTTCAAGTGATTCTGCTGCCTCAGCCTCCCAAGTAGCTGGGATTATAGGCACCTGCCACCACACCCAACTAATTTTTGTATTTTTAGTAGAGATAGGGTTTCACCATGTTGGCCAGGCTGGTCTCGAACTCCTGACCTCAAGTGATCCACCCACCTCGGCCTCCCAAAGTGCTGGGATTACAGGCGTGAGCCACTGCGCCTGGCTGAAGTTGTCCCTTTCTTTCTCCAACTCTTCTATAGGGGAGGAGTGCATGTCTTTCCAATGCTTTCATTCTTTCCCTCCAGAGACAAGGAACCCATCCCTCTGGACTCCCCACCAGTGCTTTAGGTGAGATCTTCATCTACACTCTGAAATCCTCACCAGGACCTTCACCCCGAGCTGTCTTCTTGAACTTGCCTTTCGTTTCCTCTTCCTAAACCTCTTTGGAGGAAGAAATCCTCTTCCTCAGTCCTCTTCCATGGTAGCCTTTTCCCTCATGCTATCTCTCGAGTAAAAAAATGTTGAGAATCCACGTAGGCAAATTCTACATTACATGTGTATGATTAATGACCCTCTGAAAAATAACATTACCACAAAGTATTTAATTTTAATTTGGTCATGGCCAACTTTGGGAGTTTGGTTTGCTTTGGTTTGGTAGATCGCAGTGGGCTTCAAGAAAATCGGAGTGGGCAAATAATTAGTTTTCCTCTACCACCTTGTTAGCAGGTAATAAAAAAAAAAAAGCAAGTCCCTGACCAAAACAAGCTCAGAACAGTTCATCAAGCAGTCCTGTAAACTTGGAGTCCCAGCTCTCAGCTCTCTGTTTAGGTGCTCCAAGCATATCCTATAAAAGGTCTGCTCACCACAGACACAGCAACAATTCTCAGCAAGATGCAAAACATTGCAAAACATTGCCATCTGCATTATCTCATCTCTTAACCAATGGCTGTAAGACTAACTGGGGCTCAAGCTAAGAAAATATCCTCAAAGGGAACAGATCCATGGTTGAGTGCATTCTGAGGTCCTCTTCAGTCAAGAAGGAAGGAGGACCTCTAAGCTCTAATCTATGCATCTTGAATTCCTTTAATTTTGCCAGTGAAAACTAACTACCAAGACACGAATTTCATCAATAAAAACCTATTGTTTACACCTTATGTAAGAATCAGCAAAGTAATGGTTGTTGAACAAGGAGGGCTTGTAAAAGACGTGTCTGGCCTTTCTGATGTAATCCTGCCTGGTCACCCCATAAGAGGCGTTCTTGATTGGCACATGAAGTTCACCTAAGCTAAAGTAACACACATAGTATCACACTAGATACTATCAAGTATTTCTTTCTTTCTAGATGGAGTCTTGCTCTGTTGCTAGGCTGGAGTGCAGTGGCGCAATCTTGACTTATTACAATCTCTGCCTCCCAGGTTCAAGCAATTCCCCTGCCTCAGCCTCCTGAGTAGCTGGGACTACAGACGCACACCACCTCTCCATCTAATTTTTTGTATTTTAATAGAGATGGGATTTCACCATGTTGGCCAGGATGGTCTCAATCTCCTGACCTCGTGATCTGCCCACCTCAGCCTCCCAAAATGCTGGGATTACAGGCATGATCCACCGCGCCTGGCCACTGTCAAATATTTCTAAGTAAGCTACAGGCATGATAATCCTATAAACTAACACTTTATACCTAAAACTGCTTCAGAAAAATATGTTGCATCATTTTGTAAAGTAGAAAACTACCCCACTCTCATATTTATCCTTTACATGATTTTTTAAATTTATCATTTTTATTTATTTATTTCAGAGATGGGGTCTTGCTATGTTGCCCAGGCTGGAATGCAGTGATTATTCACAGGTGCAGTCCCACTACTCATCAGCACAGTAGTTTTAACTGCTTGTATCTGATCTGAACTGGCTCACCCCTCTTTAGGCAACCTGGTGGCCCCTGCTTCTGGGAGGTCATCATAGTGATGTTGAACTTAGTGCAGATGCTTAACCAGCATAGCGTCCTACAGCCCAGAACTCCTGGGCTCAAGTGATCCTTGCGCCTCAGCCTCCTGAGTAGCTGGGACTAGAAGCTAAATGATTTTTTATAATCTGGTTTTCTTAAAGTTAGGCTCACATGTGATGGAATGCTGTCACTGTACCAGGCAGGTGTGTGAGCACTGGGAGAGTTCCCATGTAGGGTCCTCTGAACAAGTAATGAAGATGGAAGTTTGATGGCTGTGTAGTGACATAGTGATATCGCTGCTGCTGGTGAAAGGGCCTTTTAAGCTACGTTGGGCAGAGAGGGACTGTGACTCTCATCCTGAACTCTCTACTTCACATGTGGGCCCCACTCTCTTCCCACAAGGGTTGTGGTTGGCCAGTTTTTTCCATACCTCTCCAGTTACACACTGAAAAGCCTGGAGGTCTTAAGCTTTTGATGTTCAATGACTACTTTGAGAATGTGGTGAAAATCTCTTCAATAAAATTGCATGTACACACCTGCAAAAAGCAAATTTTAAGTATCATTTCAGTGAGTTATGGACCCCACCACCACCAGTTTCATCCTTAAATCTCCTAGGAATCCATCAAGGTGGTCAGGGAACCTCTGACATTATGACGTCAAGAAAGTCAGTTAACCTCCCTGAGCCGCTGAGTTTCATCTTCCATAAAATTTGCTGCTCTCATAGTGCTACTGCCTACTCCATCACAGTACTCTGGGGAGGGAGTAAAATATCAATTATGGAAGTACATTGGAAAGTGTAGATTACTGTGTGAATGCACGGTGACTCTGTTTAATGAAAGTGCAACCCACCGGGAGGACCAGCTTCTGTCTTCTGGGCCTTTCCCTGGACACAAAAGATGTTACCTGGCATCTGAGTTTGCTCATGTCCTTCTGTGTTTTATCAAAACCAGATAAGTGACACTGATTCCCAGGACTGTCCTCTACCGTGATGGGAAAATCAATATACCTGTGGTGTCTTCTCCCCTCTCAAACATTGCCCCTTACTTTTAACCTCTCAGTTTTCCTTCCTCTCCAGTCCTCACCAAGAGCTGTCCTCACCAACAGCTGTCATTCCTCCCTGAGCCCCTGAACTAGTGAATTAATTTACACTGAAAAGATAATGATTTTATGTGTTGTTTATTCCCAGCAGTATTTTGCATTTTAAAAGAGAGCTGCAGTGTTCGGGCTACAGTGGATGCTAAAGAATGTACCCCTAATGATGGGATTCCAGTAACTGTTGTACCAGGTGAAGCTATTTTTTTAGGAAGTTATTCAAGTCAACCATGTAGGCTATTTTATATTCCCCATATAAGCCTGAACACTAAGTTTGCTACTCACTTTAACTTTTTAGTGAAGATGAGATGATCCTCTCATATCTAGGCAAGAATATTTTGAAAGGGGTAGTAAAGAATTCTGCTCCTCTGGCTACAAAGAGCACAGCTTTTCCATGCAAAGAAGAGGAGAATCAGGTTTATGTCAATACCTGTTGTGTCAAAACTCCATTCATACCCTAGAGGGTATAACAGGTTCAGAGGATATTGCTCCCAAAGGGCTCCCATTTTCACCAGTTCTAGAGGGAGCCTTCCTGGCCACCCTGTGGTCATGGCACACCTTTTGGGAAGGTGTATGAGGATGATTAAAGGATTGCTCTGGGATGGAAGACCTTCCCCTTAACACATCTCTCATCTGAAAAGCACTTGAAGTCTTAAAGTCAAAAGCCTGATTTACCTGTCCCCACCTCGCCTTTTTCCACTGTATTAGTCCATTTTCACACTGCTGATAAAGACATATCTGAGACTGAGAAATTTATAAAGAAAAAGAGGTTTAATGGACTCACAGTTCCATGTGGCTGGGGAGGCCTCACAATCCTGCGGATGGTGAAAGGCACATCTTACATGGTGGCGGACAAGAGAAAATGAGAGAACTTACGCAGGGAAACTACCCCTTATAAAACCATCAGATCTCGGCCGGGCGCAGTGGCTCACACCTGTAATCCCAGCACTTTGGGAGGCCGAGATGGGTGGATCACAAGGTCAGGAGATCGAGACCATCCTGGCTAACATGGTGAAACCCCATCTCTACTAAAAATACAAAAAATTACCCGGGCTCAGCTACTCGGGAGGCTGAGGCAAGAGAATGGCATGAACCCGGGAGGCGGAGCTTGCAGTGAGCCAAGATTGTGCCACTGCACTCCAGCCTGGGGGACACAGCGAGACTCCGTCTCAAAAAAAAAAAAAAATCAGATCTCGTAAGACTTAGTCACTATCATGAGAATGGCACAGGAAAGACCCACCTCCATGATTCAGCTACCTCCCTCCGGGTCCCTTCCATGACTCATGAGAATTGTGGGAGCTACAATTTAAGATGAGATTTGGGTGGGGACATAGCCAAACCATATCACCCACTAACTCCCCATGAATGGAACAGACCTAAGCCCATGCTCTGTGTTGCAGCCCTCACCTCACCCTTGTCTTACTTCAGGCTAATGGCTTGGCCTTGCCATACTTGCTCCCATCCCGGCATTTTTCCCATTGATAACCTTTCCCTGACGAGGTCCCCCCTTCCCAGTCAAGTCCAGCTAAAAGCTATTTTAGAACCTGCAGGTCCAGCTCATGCCCCCTGACAATTCTGAGCCCACCCCTGCCCTTCAGGGGAAAAGCAGCACTCTTCCTGGCTCAGGTTGCCCAATCCTGTAAGTATAGGCCAGCTCTGCCAATTCCTCACCATGAACCTATGTTCCAAAGGGAGACTTATGAATTCATATTCTTTCCTTGAAACCAACAATTATGGGATCATGGTGCAGGACTTCATGTATTTTTGAATGACTCAAACTTCATTTTTCATGTAATTCATACAAGAATCCTGGAGCCCTGGATTTCCTATCCACCCTCTATTTCCATTTTCCCTTGCTTCTTTTGCCCAAGTTTTAATGGCTCAGCTGGAGTTGAGACCATATTTGCTACTCGTGTTTGTTTGAACACTTAGGTTCTGTGAAAATATTTGCCTCCCAAATTCCCAATGATAGACAGATGTCCTAGCTCATTGCTGTTGCTTTTTAAGTATCTTGGCAGGGAGAGAATTGGCTTCACATTTCAAAGAATTCCTTTTCTGCTAAAAAGTTCTGGTGTCACCACACAAAAGCACTTGCAATGCACACCCACAAAATGGAGCCATCAGGCCCTCCTTGGAAAGAAAATGCAACTCTTCATTCTCTCTCAAGGTCCACTAACTAGCTTAGTGTCCTTGGGCTTAACCTCTCTGGACCTTAGTTTCCTCATTTGTAAATGAGGGATTTGTTTGATTTCTAAGGTTTCATCCAGCCATAACCTTCTCTGATTCTGTCAAAACAGGTCACAGGGAAGAAAACCATAATTTTACTTTGAGCACAGGGATTTTTGGAAGACTATTACAAATCTGCAAATAGAGTTTAAAATCTCATCAATCTTCCTTTACTAACAAAATACATTTCCATTCCTTTTTCACTGAGTAATGGAAAATAGCCTTGAAGGGTAATATTGGAGGGGCCTCGGTGACAGCAGGGTTCATTTTCTTGTTTTTAGATTCCAAAGTTAAAAAAAAAAAAAACCATTAAAGCCAATTCCTCTCACCAGGCCAGATCCAGAAGTTGCCACTTCAATTGGGTCTATTTTGAGGTAAAAGGAGATGAATATGAACACATTTCCATAGATGGAACTCATGCAAGAAGAGGGCAAGGTAAGGCTCCCCCTTCTGAAATCAAAAGAAATCAAGAAAATCCATTATCTGTTGCAGCTACACTTGACATGCTTCTGCCCATGTTATTTGGGGTTCCCTTAAGTTCCAGATTTCATGGAGTGGGGGAGACAGAGTTGTCACGCATCTTGAGGATTTCTCATGCACTGCGCTGCTAGTTGGTGAACAAAGCTACGACTGTCACTTTGCTCCTATAGCCTCTGACTTTCCAGCACAGCTCTGAGTGTCTCTGCATGGAAAAGGACTACTTCATGAAAATGTCCCTGATCATTTTAACTGCACCATGGGCCACACGAAGGCCAAAGGGGGAACTATAAAGTAGTTAGCTGCAGAAATTGGCCTCCTGCCTGGAGGTTATTTGGCCTCTTCTCTCCCTCTTTCCCCTGGATGCTGAGTCTCTGTCTCTTTACTGTTCCTTTGAGTTCTTTCTCAAACCCATGTGCTGTGCTTCTATGAACCAGCGCTAAATGGAGCCCAAGGATGTCAGTTTCATGCAGTACTCAGAAGAAACTGCCGATTTTAGCTCTGTCCTCTTACAGAGTTACAGTCACATAGGAATATTAAAAAGTTTTTTGGCCCACAATTCAGTTCTTAACCGCCACTCCTTCACATATCCATTTTCTAATGAAAAACAATCGGGAAAAAATAGCTGTATCTTCATTTTGTTTTTTGTCTCCTGTGGAAAAAAATAGAGTTTTTCATTTATTCCCATTAAGAAGGGTTGGAAGAGGCTATAGATTTCATATATGTATATTTAAACTTGGTGGAATTTTTAATTCTCTCTACCCAATTACTAGTTTGAAAGGGTTAGAAGAAGTTCACTGCCAACAATCCAGTTTATGAAGGTCTAGAGAAACATTCCATATGGGAAAAATAAGGCCAAGCAAAAATGAAAATGGAAACTTCCTCTACCAAAAATAGGGAAAGGGCCCTAGAAGAAACAAAATGCCAAGAATATCTTAAAAGAAAAGCATTCCCAGGCAGCAAAAGGCATGCACACACAAACATGCACACACACACACACCACCCATATACACACAAGCATGCATGGATGTAAGGACACATAGACACAGGAACACACATATATCTGAACCCAATGGCCTGGTCCAACCATTGGGAGGTTGTGTGTCACGAGCTCATTTTGTTCTTGTCCTTGATAAACTGGTAATCTTTAAATTCTGCTGCAAAAGCAAAGATATGGAAGGTAAAACATGATTCTGTCATTTTTTTTTGAAAAAAAAAAAAACAAAAAACATAGAAATCCCTGAGTGTATCTGTGTTGGCTTTATAACAGAGATGACTATTCATTTGTTCAACAAACGTATTTTTTGGTAAGCATCTGCCATATTCTAGGCACTGTAGATACAGGATCGTAGAACACTGGCCATAACGGATGGCACTCCTGTCTGGGGAGTAAGGCAGCCATAGAAAGAGATAATTAGAGTAAAAATGGTTGGTATGGAGGAGGATTATGTACACCCTAAGTGGAAACACAGAAGAAAGAACGTTCATCTCTGCTAAGGGCTCATAGTGGAAGAAACATTTGTGCTAAGTATGGAAGCAGGATGGAGACTCACTAAGGAAGCTGGAAGGGCATTATTGGCAGAGGGAAGGTCATGAACACCATCACAGAGATGGGGAACAGCATGGTGTGTTCCACACACAGCAGGGGATCCCACAAAGCTGGAGTTTAGATGAGTCAGATTTTGAAGGACACGATCGACCACCATGCTGAGGAATCTCAGCTTTATGGCATAGGCAATGTGGCAGCATCAAAGGACTCTCTCTCTCTCCCCCCACAAGCATAACTGTTAATTTTTGGCTTATGGATTTGTTTTGAGATTTCTGTTGCTGCAGAGTTTCTTTGGTGACAATAAGAAGAAGGAACCAGAGGTGTGTGAGGCAAGGAGGTGAGTTAGCGGCTGCAGCCGTGCTCCTCGTAAGAGCAGAGGGAGAAAGTCCTGGCTTGGGGAGTGAAAATAGAAAGGAAGACTCACAGACGCAGGCCAGGAATGACCCAGACCACACTCATGTCCTTGGTCTCCTAGAGTATTCCTATTTCACCTGTGTCCTTCCCCACCCAGGACTGTGGCATGCCCGTGAACTCTTCTGGGAACAGCTGCCAAGTCCCTGTTGCAGGGGGCTAAAGAAGACTCAACTCATCACTTTACCCAGGCCTCCTGCCTGAGGGTCTGAACAGATTTAACCACCAGAGCTCAAGCCAGATTTATGGAAATGCGGTTAAAGGGGACATCAATAAGAATGGCTGACTTATATTAATTTTTTCTTTTAAGCTCCAACAGACATGGCATACTATTGGGCTCAACAAATGCTTTTGAGCTGGGCGTGGTGGCACATGCCTGTAATCCCACCTACTAGGGAGGCTGAGACAGGAGAATTGCTTGAACCAGATAGTTGGAGGTTGCAGTGAGCCGAGATCATGCCACTGCACTCCAGTCTGGCAACAGAACAAGACTCCGTCTCAAAAAAAAAAATGCTTTTGAATCAATGAGAGGGGTGGGCTACACAAGTAAGTTTGGAACTGAGCTTAACCTAGGTCTACAGATTCCCCAGACAAGCCTTGGTCCCTGCTGTGGGGTCCTGTGTGCTGGGCCTCACCAGAGCTGCTCTATCTGCTTTTTTGTGACTGCCCACATCTTGTTTCATTTTAAGAAAAGTTTCTACAACTAAGTCTAGGTTATCACTAAAGTCCTCCCTTTCTTAAAATATCTCTGCAGCAATAAGACATCAATGAACTGATTATCGGTGATTAATATGCTCTAGCAATTTGTGTTTAATGTATTTTTAATCCACTTATGACTGAAATAAAAACTTTCCTCTTTCCTTGTACTTGAGAAAAGGGAATTCTAGAAGTGGCCTCGGTTTCAGAGGAATGAGGCTGCCAACATGGGGTTTACCCAGCTGGCTTTGTAAATATTATTCTACCCTGGTCTGCAATCCTTCAAACAATTGGTGATACCACTGTGGCTTAAAATAAAAACCTCAAGGCTGCTCTCTGACCCTCCCTAGTCACCCCCAAACCTCTCTAGGGGACTTGGACTTCCAAACCAGAATGACTTCCTCACCCACCAAGCAATGGGGGCTGGATTTTTCTCCTCTTAGGGTATCTTTCTAACTTGTTATTTCCATAATTAACTTTAATTACTTTCCTCCTCCTCCTCTCTTTCCACACAACACCCTATTTTCATTCTTTGTGGGGGTGGTAGACCTCCAAGCTTCTGGCAACTCTCCCTTTGACCGAGGTCCCCAGGAAGAATTTCCAAGGTCAGCTGAGGGGGGCCTAGGAGAGCTGTGTGGAAAATGAGGCCTAGGAGATGAGGAGGGGTTGGGAGAAGGGGAGGAACAAACTTTCCAGTGGAAAAAAGACTAAAGAACATTTATTCCAAGTTTTATTTCATAGATGAGAATGCTGAGGCCTAATGAGGTGAGGCAACTCACCCCAGGTTGCTATTATTGGGGGGTCTTGGGGACATGATCCTATCAAAGCAGGGTTGAAACTGAGTGTCCATTGTTGGCTTATGTGGCAACCTGAACTTCTTGTCTTTTTCAAGTGAAATGTGGCAGCAGCCAAGCCTTACTTTTCTGGAAGCTGTAGGTCACGTCTTCACATTCAAAGCCTTTGCTTAGCCTGGCCTGTTTTATAGATCTGGCCACATCTTCCAGCAGGACCATCACTCAGCACTCTCTGCCACAGTGCTCAGGGATCTCCAGGGCCCACAGGCAATAGGAGATGGGGAACCTCACCCAGGAGAGAAGGGCCTTGACCACCCCAGCAGACAGCTCCACATTGCCGTGCTCTCCTCTCTCCCGCATGCATGAGCCTTCTTGTTTCACGCATGCGTTTTTGAACACAGCACCATCTCTCATTCATTTCTTTGTGAATCTTACATCACCCTGTGCACTTCCCAGGCACCCTGATCCCTCACACCGTCCCCAGCCCAGAATGTGCCTCCCACCTAGCCCTTCTGAAAGAAATCACCAAGAGACATTAACTCAGGCTACAAGGACCGAAACTGGGCTTCCCCAGTACCCACAGAGCCACTCCCTCACTGGGTCAAATACACACCTGGGCCTGCCTATGTTCAGGGTGAGTTCCCAGCACACGCCTGTCTTGTTCCTCATGCAAACAGGTGTCTGGCAAGCCTCCCCAACCTGGCTCAGGTACCCACATCTAGGTCCCGCTTAAACTCAACACAGGATGCAAGAGAAATATGCACTCAGATGACACTCAGGCACAGGCACAAAGTCACACGTGCACATGTACATCCCAGAGAAACCTAGAAAACAGTAGGAAAGGATTGCTTTATAAGGGCAATTATTTTCTTTTTTTTTTTTTTGAAATAATGTTAATTTTTATTGGAATCTTTTTTTTTTTTTTTTTTTTAGTATTTATTGATCATTCTTGGGTGTTTCTGGGAGAGGGGGATTTGGCAGGGTCATGCTAAACATGTGAACAATTATTTTCTTCTTTTTGCTTATCTTAAATGTTTCTGGAGTTCATTTGAATTACTAATTCAATTTGAATACCTAATAACACAACTAAATGCCTTTTTTCTTTTTGAGACAGGGTCTCGCTTTGTCGCCCAGGCTGCAGTGCAATGGCACAATTATAGCTCACTGCAATCTCGAACTCCTGGGCTCAAGTGATCCTCCCGCACCTCAGCCTCTGAGTAGCTGAACTACAGGTAGGCACCACCATGCCCAGCTATTTTTTAAAATTTTTTTGTCAAGATGGGGTCTCGCTATGTTGCCCAGGCTGGTCTCAACTCCAGGCCTCAAGCAATCCTCCTGCCCAGTAAATGTTATTTTTAAAACTTCTATGCAAAATGAGTTTAATGGGCACAGTCTCTCCTTCATATATGATTCAGCCACTCATTCAATGAGCTTTGGTTTTTACCTCATTGCCAGGGTAGTGCTCAGGGTAAAAAGAAGACGAGTAGCTTATTTGTGTTCTCAATCTATCACTTATCAAGGAAAGAATACATTGAAGACATCACTTAAATTAAGTCTAGACCCAATCCTGATATTAAAATATGATTACAATTTAAAAGTATATGACAGAGATTTCTCAGTGCCAGCTAATGATCAGCACATGACAGGTGGAAATGTCGTCCTATGAAAGAAGCCTCCAGCTCCACCATCGAGTCCTTCAGGGCACACAGAGCGAGGGGCTTTGACCTGGACAAGGTGTGACTAACGAGGCAATGAGGCTCAGCTGTCATTCTGCTTATTGGCAAACAGGCCAGAACTCCTGCCTCTAAATAAACAGGTCCTTCCTGGGAGTCAGCACAGATGGCTACAGGCTCATTCAAACCTGGTCATCACTGCTTGGATTATTTTGGAGCTGTTCTTTGGGAACTTTCCTTATAACCAGTTGATCAGCCACATGGGAACATTAGCCACTTGCTTCATAGTCTGCTTCAGAATTAATATTTAAAAGAAAGGCAGGAAGCTAAGTTTTGGGAGTCTCACCAAGGGGTAAGAGTGCAACAGATGCCCAGTACTAAGGAAGCCACTGGGCCCAGACAGTGTGAGCTCTCTCAGGGACGTCACAGGGCCAGGCATCCTCTGGTGCCCAGAGCAGTGCCTGACACACAGTTGGTCATTAGTAAATACTAGTAGAAAAAAAATTGAGAAAAAAAAAGCAGCAACATTATGGTCAAATTCATAACCCACATATGACACGCTCCACTGTCCAGACCAGCCAGGTGCTGGGCTGCTCCTGCTGAAATGAAAAGAAAAGGGGGTCTCAAAGCCCCTTTCTTCTCTTTTCATCTTCTTTTCTAATGAACATACAGGGTCAGGCTCAAACTATTAAAACTCTTCCCAGCATTCACGTTTATAGTACATATTTGACATGAAGGCAAAGGTATGTCAGACTCATCATCATAGACAAAGGCAGTCAAGTTCAAAGCCAAACGTTGAATGCTCGGGCCAAAGCCTTCAAGTCCAGGCAGGCGCTCAGGGTGGCTGGAGACCTCACAGGGCCCTGACTTTCACACCCACCTGGCTGCTCAGGGTCAGGGGTTTGAGAGAGTGTCAGCAGGAGACAGACCAGGTCACCGTGCGCTGGCCCTGCCTTCCAGGTAAAGCAGACACCTGTCTGTGGAGTGGCCCTGCCTTGCTCCTGCCTGAGGTTGCGGGGCCCACATTCCTTTAATTCAGCTGAGGCCCATGGAAGCCCTGCTTGGTCCACCGCCTCCCAGGGACCTCTAGAATCCACTGCTCTCCAAGCCAGGGTTAACAGGATTCTCTCCAACCCTCCATCCTTTTTTCTAAAAGAAAGGGGGTTTCAGAAGATATTCCTCCCTGGGGTGGGGTCAGGAGTGTGGGGAATGGATAAGGGAGTGAGCTTTGTCCAGACAATCAAGATCTGCTGCTCTATTTCAGTTTTCCCGGAACATGAACAAGGAATGCTTTTTCTCCCCCAATTCAAACTGCACACACCTTATAAGAAAACAATGGCCTGCAAGTGCGTCATTTCAGCAGCCAGCTGGTTTTGTACCCCTGGAAATCCCTGAAGTGGGCAAGCCGGTCATATCTGGCTCTATCAAGAAAATCTTACATCAATTCAGAAATTCTCTGGGTGGCCCTCTCCTTCGGTTCTGCCCTCCTTGGGAATATAGCAATTTTTATTAGTAACTCTATCAAATAGAATTATTAATTATCTTATTGACTACATTCTGTCAAGGGCTAACCATACTCCAAGCCCTGAGCTTAAAGTCAATTATCTCATTTAATCCTCATGAAAATCCTGTGGAGCAGGGTTGATTCCAATTTTACAGAAATAGAAATAAGGTGTGTAGGCAGCCCCTAAAATAGACTGACAAATTCACAGTCTGATGGAGTTCCGGGTGTAACTAATGTATATTGTTACAGGTTGATTTTCCAGAGTTCGCTGGGACTCAGGTTTTTTCTGTTTGTTTTTTTTAATTGTTGGGAGACATTATTATTATGTGAGCGGAAAATAAGATCTGAGTAGGCAGCGTATAGAGTTGTGATCCAAAAAAATTCAGAAGCCAGGTTAATCTGACACCTGCGGAAGCTGGGCACAGCGGATGCTTGGCGGCAAGGTCATTGAGCCTGAGCCGCCTGGGAGGAGCGCAGGCCAGGTGTCCACTTCCTCTACTCAAACTCCAGCCCTCTTACCTCAGCTTCTCATGCTCCAGCCCAGCCTCCCAGGGATGCCTTGTGATGCCTGCCTGCCTGGGGCTGACTGTGTGGCATCCTGTGAGCTAAGAGGTTTCTAGGACCCACAGAGAATGATGATATTTGTGGCTTTATTCACAAGGACTAGCCTACACCTGGCACATAATAGATGCTCAACAAATACTTGCTGACTTACTGATTCCTCCACAAGGCCTCTCCCTGGGCAAGTGAGAGCAGCCCCCCTTCATCCTGCATTCCTGAGCTGGGCTTACTCAGAGACGCGGTGCTGTATTTGGTCACCAAGCGTCACCTCCAGCTGAGTCCAGCTGAGTCCAGCAGAGAAGCCAACAAAGTGCACAAAGAGCCATGTGTTGACCTCCAGTGTCTTCTCCCAGCCCAGGCCTGCTCTCAGCTAGGCTGTACTGACAGCTGCATCTGCCAGAGCTGGGAGCTTTGGGGGTGTGAGTCTGGGCCCCCACAAAACTGAGGCACCACTCAGGACTTGTCCTGGGCACTCTTGGAGCAGGCATATTGGCTGCTGCCTCCCCTCCTTCTCTGTCTCCAATCCTCTGGGTCTCCAAGATCTTATCCCTTTAAATATCCTGCTAAGGCATGAATGGGTAACTAAGTTAGAATATTTATATTTTGAAAGCAGGACTCAAATCTGAAAAACACACACAGAGAAATGCAGCTCTGATTAGGGGAGAACATGAATGAGGATGGCTTAACAGAGGGCAGGAATCCTCGCCTCACTTCCCTCAAAGTCACGCACTGCCAGGAATCCCCAGGAGTAGCAACTCAAAGGCTGATGCTGTGCCACACCCCACAGAGGAACGTGTACAAGGAAGTCCCAGTTATCGCAGCCTCACCAGAGAGATGCCAGGCTGTCAGTAGCCTTTTGCCTAAACCACCTGTTTTAGAAGAAGGGCGTGTGTGCGTGTGCGCACGCTACGCTGCTCCTGCTGAAATGAAAAGAAAAGGGGGTCTCAATGCCCCTTTCTTCTCTTTTCATCTTCTTGTCTAATGAACACAGAAGTTAGCCTTAAACTATTAAAATTCTTCCCAGCCTCCATGTTTATAAGCACCTATTTGAATTGTATGTGGAGGGGGGGTGGGAAGAGAGAGAAGGAAAGAGAGAGAGGAAGGAGTAGAGGGGAGAGAAAGAGAGAGATGGAGAGGGTTAAGCAAATAGTTTTAGGGCCTACTGTTCAGCAGCCACCCTGGGGAGCCCTGGTCTTGGGCACAGAGAGGATAAAAATTAAGTACCTCCGAGGAGCTCATGGACGAGCACGGGGAATGAACATTAAAGCAGGGGCTGTCATTCTAATGAGCCAGGTCTGAAGAGACCAGTAGGGTCAGGATGTCTGGGACCACAGGGACAGGATAATCCACCCTTAGCTTGAGGTTTCAAAGCGGTTTTCCCAGAGAGACTTCACTCATGTTAAAAGATATATTTTTGGCCTTTTTTCTGATCATTTAGTGGCAAAGATTTCCCCAACCTGGCTTTCTTCTGTCAACACTCCGTACAGCAGCTGTCTGTTCATGCCTCTGTAGTATGAAAGCACCTCAAAATCGGCCATGGAGGGCTGAATGCCTCTCCGGCCTGGCCCAGAGAGCTTTTCTAGTCCAGAGGTGTAGACGCCATGGGGAGAAAAAGGCTCTGTGTTGGGGACCAGAGGTACAGGGAGGAGAAAAGGCAAATGCTTGCTGCATCTCGGGAAATTTTTGCCAACAATGTTGTCCCAGATGCAGAGATGACAATGTCATCCCGGGTGGAACCTGGACTTTTAGACACTCTGGGGGACCCTCTTTAAGAAAAAGAAATAAAAAGGATTCCTCTTACAAACTGTCAGACACAGGACTTATGTAGACATTGGCGGGTTCTTCGCAGCAAGCAGGCCACCGCAAGTGAGGGGCCCTCAGGCTTCAGCTTCATGTGGCCTTCATGGCAAATCCACCTCTGCTCAGTGGCCAAGAAATGGTCTTTCTCTGGAGGAAACAACTGGGAGCCAGCCCGCCCTGTGTAACTTAATTATCTGTGAACTTCACAGGCAGAATGGCAGCTGTCACTGACAGGGCCCAGCCAAGCGTCCCCTGCGTGTTCCCATGGGTCTCCAGGAAGATGTAATTTTATTTTCAGAGCACAGACTTTCTTCAGCATTTCAGTTTGGCATCCAAAATTTTCACAGGAAAGCAAATGACAGCACCCGTCAGAAAACAAAATAGCCTTCCCATTACATGTTTATTGCTGTTCTAATGAGCCAAGGGCACAGGATACTACTTTTTAAACAACATAACAAAAATATTTGCCCTCAATAAAGCTTGTGTTCTCCTTCTTTAGAGGTTAAAAATGTCAGAGATTTGAACATCTCACATTAAAATCAGCAATGTATTTATTGTTTTTGTTCCCACCTAACACAGAGTGTTGCTAAAGATTAGGAAAAAAGAGTCAGATGAGCAGGTGGAAGTTGATCATATTTTTCATCATCATTGTTACTAGGGTGACTGTGGCTGTTCTAATACTACTAACCGTAAGAGTAAGCAGTTCTCCATAAGACTTGACAAGTGAAATGAAAATTGCAGCAAGTACCAACCTAAGCAGACTTTAGGAAACAAAACATACTCGAAATGGTAACCCTGAAGAGTTTTTCCCTCCCATATTTATCCCTTTCTCCACACCTGTGTTCCTCAGGGAAGCAACCCTCCACGAGACACAATTCTGACTGGTGATGTGTAGGCAGACGTCACTGGGGAAGAGGCCTAAAGCCAAAGGGCAGAGCTTTGTTAGGAGAAAGCTCTTCACTCTGTAGCCCTCTTACTTCTTCCCATTCTCCCTACTGGATAGCCTGGGGGTATAGCAGTCACACTAAAAAACAGATAGGCAAGTAGGAAGGAAAGCCCTCTGTGCTGAGCAATGGGAAGACGACCTTGAGCAATAGGAGGGTGCCATGTTTGGGTCACACACCAGCCCTGCCCTGGCCTCCTCTGATGATTATTTTCTGAGATAAGCATACCTTTATTTCTTTAAGCCACCATCAGAAATATCAAGAGTTCTGATACTTGTTGCCAAATACATTTCTAACTAATGCAAGAGAAAGAAAGAACCTGGTCCCCTCCAATTCCATCATAAATATATTCGCAAATTATGGGACGAGCGAAAGCGTTCTATGTTCTCTAAGCTTCAGTTTTCCCCTGGGTAAAATAAGTAACTGTTCTTGACCTGCTTCTTTATGGAGTTGCTCTGAGGATGAAATGATATATGCGAGGACACTCTGAAAACTGTCAATTGTATATGATTATCAGTAGTGGGCGCCATGCTAGGAGCCCAGTCTTTGTGCCCATCTCTGCTTGGGTGTTAGGATTAGCCACTAAATAGAGATCTAGTTTCAAAAGTCTTCTTACAAAAGGCTTCTCTGGCATAGAGGTGCCCCAGAGATAAAGGGCCAGCTAACACAGAAAGCCAAGTACAGAAACTCAGAAGAAATATTAGAGTGAGGGTTAGAGTGCCCCCCCATTAACAGTGTCAGAGGAACCACAGAACTGGTGGATGATGAGGAATTTTCTGGTACAACCCTGCATTCATTGCCTGAGGCTACCGCAACAAATGATCCCAAGTTGGGTGGTTTATTTTATTTATTTATTTATTTGTTGAGATGGAGTCTTGCTCTGTCGCCAGGCTGGAGTGCAGTGGCGCCATCTTGGCTCACTGCAACCTCTGTCTCCCAGGTTCAAGCGATTCTCCTGCCTCAGCCTCCTAAGTAGCTGGGACTACAGGCACATGCCACCACGCCTGGCTAATTTTTGTATTTTTAGTAGAGACAGGGTTTCACCACGTTGGCCAGTATGATCTTGATCTCTTAACTTCGTGATCCACCTGCCTTAGCCTCCCAAAGTGCTGAGATTACAGGTGTGAGCCACCATGCCCGACCTATTTTATTTTTTTCTTAAAGACCAGTGTAACAGTATTGGGTACTTCAAAGCAACAGAAACTCATTTCTTTCACAGTCCTGGAGGCCAGATATCTGAAATCAAGGTGGCAGCAGGGTTCATTGCTTCCAGGGGCTCACAGGGAGAATCTGTTCCTCGCCTCTCTCCTAGCTGCTGGTGGCTCCCGCCATCTTTGGCATTCCTTAGTAGCAGGTGTATCACTCCAAGCTCTGCCTCCATCCTCCCATGGCTTTCTCCTCCCAGTGTCTCTGTGTCTGCTCCTTTTTCTTTGTCTCTTGAAACAACACCCCTCACTGGATTTGGGGTCCACCCTATATCAGGATGATCTCGATTTGAGATTTTTATTTAAATGACATCTACAAAGATGCTTAATCCAAATAAGGTCACATTCTGAGATTCTGAGTGGATCTATATCTTTTGGGAGCCACAGTACAAATCCCAAGAGTATCCCTCAGATGTTCTTGGGTCCAAGTCCTGGGTAACAGGCTCACATCCTTGCAAAAGGGGAAGTGTGGGTTTTCCTTTGGGGGCCTAAAGGGTCTGTGGTCACTGAGAAGTCCTCACAGCCTCCAAAGGCAGAGCTGCAGGAGGGAAGTTGCAGTAGCAGCAGATGAGGCTGGGAGAGAGGCAAAGCCAGCAGCAGCAGCTACAGGAAGGGATGCACTGCCTCCCCTGTATGGCCCTTTCCCCACTCACATGACCAGCCACCTGTCTGTCTTGCCACAAGTTCCAGAACAGTCTTAACAGGGTATACCAAGTGCACTCAGTCCTCATCCATCCCCACGCCCCTCTACCTGCCTCCCAACGCCCAGTTCACAGGGCTTCAAATCACGTCACCATCTGCTTTTGGCCCAACCTGGGTCCAAGAGGGTCCTAGGGCTGCTGCTGAGCCCCAGGAATCACCTGAGTCATAGCCCCTCCCCAGGGTTGTCCCCACGACAGAGGTTCAGGTTCCACAGCCTCTTCACACAACTCCCTAATCCTGAGTCCACTGAGTGCCTCAGGAGAGTGAGCTTCTGTCCTGGCTTCTATTTCTGAGCTTGCCATGTCATCTAAGGGAGCTCCCCAACATGTTCTGCAAGGACTCCCGCCTTGCTCTAGCCAGGATTCTTGGATCTCACCCCTTCCCACTATCTTCTGCCCTCGAGGCACAGACACACCTTGGAGAATGCTGAGTGAAACAGAAGCATAAGGAGAAGGCTCATAGGACTCAGGCAACCTCAGAGCTCACACGATTTGGGGAGGAAAGGAATCTGTAATTGTACCAGGAAGCCCATGGCAAGTGTCAAGTAGCAGAATAGACATGAAAGCCCCAGAGATAGTTATGAGAATGGAATGACCACCTCAGGCATGGCAAAGGTGGAATTTGATTTAATGAAGAAAATGTTCTCTGATCATTCTTGGCCATCTTCTCACACTTCCAACAATGTCATATGGCTGAGGATTCTCAGTCTGCATCTCTAGCCCAGGGCTTTCTCCACAGTCTCACAACTGTTTTCTGGAGGCCTACTGGGCATCTCCACCCAGATGTCTCCCAGGACCTTAACCTCAACACAGCCAGACTTGAGCTCTTTTTCTTTTTTTTGAGATGGAGTTTCACTCTTGTCACCCAGGCTGCAGTGCAGTGGCCCAATCTTGGCTCACTACAACCTCCGCCTCCCAGGTCCAAGCGATTCTCCTGCCTCAGCCTCCTGAGTAGCTGGGATTACAGGCGTCCACCACCAAGCCCAACTAATTTTTGTATCTTTAGTAGAAATGGGGTTTCGCCATGTTAGCCAGGCTGGTCAGCATTGCTGGCTTCCCAAGCAGATGTCTAGGAAGCACCTTCAACAACTTCCTTTCCTTTACCGTCTTATATGATCACATAGGCACAGAGTAAATACGTTTAAGAGAAGGAAGAGAGGGAAAAGGAGTTCATGTGGTTGAGCTTCAATCACTAAATTCTTAATTAATTCAGAGACTCAATCTGCCCTAGGGGACAGAGAGACAACACTGATGTCGCCTGTCTCATATGCTTCCCTTGTTCCTGGCTAACAGAATCATAATTGTGCCAGGGGAGCAAAGTACCCAGCTGAAACTACTATGTAAATTTCTCAGCTTCTTTCACCACTAAAAGCAGCCATGTGACAAGATGCTGGCCAGTGAGCTGCAGGTAAAAGTCCCCAAGAAAGAGGTCCCCTTCTCAAAATAAAAAAAGGAAAACCTTACTAAAAGAAAGCCCTTTTGTTGCCCTTTGCACCTTTGCCCTGCCCTCATTCCTGCTTAGAAGGAGCAGCCATCCTGCAGCCACAAGGGAACAAGCATGACAATTGATTGGCAAGAGAATGGTGTGTAGAAAGATGGGCCAAGCCTACATCCCTCATGTTGCAGATGCCTGGATGGCCCATTCCTGCGTGCCTACCTGCAGACCTCCTTTTGTATAATACAAAATAAGCCACTCTGTGTTTAATCCACTGTAGTCAGGTTTCCCATTATTTATGTTCCTGATTTCTGCCATTATTTTATCATTAGTATTCATATATATGCACGTCTATGTATATCCTACAAACTCCTCAATAATCCTCCACAAAACATAGGGAATGTCATGGATACTGTGCTACTGCCTAAATTTCCCCCTTCAAAAAGGGAGAATTCACGCCCAATACGGTCAGTCCTTGTTATGGTTTGGCTCTGTGTCCTTGCCCAAATCTCAGGTCATCTCGTAATCCCCAGTGTTGGAGGTGGGGCCTCGTGGGAGGTGATTGAATCATAGGGCCTGGTGGGAGGTGACTGAATCACGGAGGTGGATTTCCCCCTTGGTGCTGTTCTGGTGAAAGGGAGTGAGATCTCATGAGATCCGCTAGTTTAAAAGAGTGTGGCATCTTCCCCCTCTCCCTCTTGCTTCTGCTCCCGCCATGTGAGATGCCTGCTTCCGTTCTGCCTTCCATAATGACTGGAAGATTCCTGAGGCCTCCCCAGAGGCAGAAGCCTCTGTGCTTCCTCTACAGCCGGCAGAACTGTGAGACAAACTTCTTTTCTTATAAATTACCCAGTCTCAGGTATTTTTTTTATAGCAGTGCAAGAATGGATTAATATAGTCCTCTTTGAGAGTTAACTTTGCTCAAGAGAGATGCTCACTCAAGGTCACCCTCCTTCCTGGGAAAGCACATTGCCAACAGCCAATGCAGGATATCTATGCCTGGTCCCCTTGCCCAAAATCAGATCTCTCTGATGGACCATGCCCCTGGGATTAGCTGAGAACTCTGGTGACTGCCTCACACCAACTTTTCCCTCTGCCCTCGTGGATGTTGATCCTGAGAGCATTCCAGAGTCAGGCAAATCTCCATCTCAGCATCTTCTCCAGGGACACCAACCTGCAAAGAACTGCCCTGATAACAAAATGTGAGAAAGAGAAGCCTCGGCCCGCATGTCAGGCAGTCTAGAGTGCTCACGTTAAGACATTCTCAATTTTACAAGGACAGAGCTTTTTCCCTCTTAAACAATCAAGTATAAAATAGCTTCGTCAAAATAGCATTAACACCAAGCCAGAGCTCATGGGTGTCCCATACTGGCTTAACAACCGGGGTCCCAGAATGACTTCTTTGCTTAACATGGGTTCTTTCAACTTTTTATTACTTGGCTTAAATGTTAACAACCTATTGTCTGATTTTTTTTTTTTATGGAATTTTAGGCACTGTTGCCAACCCTCGTGGAAAAGATCTGTTTGTGTTAGCTATTCAGGCATGAATATTGGAATTTGAAAACAAAGAACATGATCTAGTAAGCTCATGGGACTTATCCTTCCAGAGGAAAATGTTCCCCGTGTCTACACACTGTCCCGCAGCAGATGCGCTCACCCTTCTACAACCAGAGGTGTGTTCACGCCAGATGTGTTCTGTTTAGGGCTGGGGTCAGCAAGTATATTTGCGTCTTAGATAAAATAACTTAGTGCCAACGTGTGTCTGAGTCACGGAGCCATGAATTTGGATTCCATACCACCCAGGCAGGCTGAAACTCTGGGTAGATGTGGAAAGGGTTTAAAGATATTTCAGAATGTCACAAAGAACTGTGAGCTCTGAGAAAACTCTATCATGAGTTTAGTGCAAAGTACTTGAGCACAGGAAATCCCATCAGAGGAGAGCTCAGTTTGGTCCAGTGAAATTCCATGAACAGAATCCTGAGACGCCTCTGGGCTTCGGTTCAGGTAACTTCAATACAGAGAAGAGGTTGCAAAAGAAGGTTCTTCTCACCAAGTCAATCCTAAGCCAAAAGAACAAAGCTGGAGGCATCACGATACCTGACTTCAAACTATACTACAAGGCTACAGTAACCAAAACAGCATGGTACTGGTACCAAAACAGAGATATAGATCAATGGAACAGAACAGAGCCCTCAGAAATAACGCCGCATATCTACAACTATCTGATCTTTGACAAACCTGAGAAAAACAAGCAATGGGGAAAGGATTCCCTATTTAATAAATGGTGCTGGGAAAACTGGCTAGTCATATGTAGAAAGCTGAAACTGGATCCCTTCCTTACACCTTATACAAAAAATTAATTCAAGATGGATTAAAGACTTAAACGTTAGACCTAAAACCATAAAAACCCTAGAGGAAAACCTAGGCATTACCATTCAGGACATAGGCATGGGCAAGGACTTCATGTCTAAAACACCAAAAGCAATGGCAACAAAAGCCAAAATTGACAAATGGGATCTAATTAAACTAAAGAGCTTCTGCACAGCAAAAGAAACTACCATCAGAGTGAACAGGCAACCTACAAAGTGGGAGAAAATTTTCGCAACCTACTCATCTGACAAAGGGCTAATATCCAGAATCTACAATGAACTCAAACAAATTTACAAGAAAAAAACAAACAACACCATCAAAAAGTGGGCAAAGGACATGAACAGACACTTCTCAAAAGAAGACATTTATGCAGCCAAAAAACACATGAAAAAATGCTCACCATCACTGGCCATCAGAGAAATGCAAATCAAAACCACAATGAGATACCATCTCACACCAGTTAGAATGGCGATCATTAAAAAGTCAGGAAACAACAGGTGCTGGAGAGGATGTGGAGAAATAGGAACACTTTTACACTGTTGGTGGGACTGTAAACTAGTTGAACCATTGTGGAAGTCAGTGTGGCGATTCCTCAGAGATCTAGAACTAGAAATACCATTTGACCCAGCCATCCCATTACTGGGTATATACCCAAAGGACTATAAATCATGCTGCTGTAAAGACATGCACATGTATGTTTATTGCGGCACTATTCACAATAGCAAAGACTTGGAACCAACCCAAATGTCCAACAATGATAGACTGGATTAAGAAAATGTGGCACATATACACCATGGAATACTATGCAGCCATAAAAAATGATGAGTTCATGTCCTTTGTAGGGACATGGATGAAATTGGAAATCATCATTCTCAGTAAACTATCGCAAGGACAAAAAACCAAACACCGCATGTTCTCACTCATAGGTGGGAATTGAACAATGAGAACACAAGGACACAGGAAGGGGAACATCACACTCTGGGGACTGTTGTGGGGTGGGGGGAGGGGGGAGGGATAGCATTAGGGGATATACCTAATGCTAAATGATGAGTTAATGGGTGCAGCACACCAGCATGGCACATGTATACATATGTAACTAACCTGCACATTGTGCACATGTACCCTGAAACTTAAAGTATAATAATAATAAAATAAAAAAAAAGAAGGTTCTTCATCTCAAAATTGAGTCTGGAAGAAATCTCAGGGAAAGATCTTGTTGTCACATTAAATAGAAGTGGAAACAGCTGTAAAAGTTGGATTTTGCAGCCAATCTGGAGATTTTTCTCAGTTCTATCAAATAACAGACAATCTTGGCTGGAAGAGCACAAAATGAGTGAGCGGGTACATCATCAAAGGGTAACATGGAACCTAGGGACCCAGTCAGAGATAGAGAAACCCTCCAGGCCCTAAGTGGAAGCAGGAAGGGCCCCTGCCCCCCGTGTCCTGTGTACTGGAGAGGGGGCTGAGGGGCAGGAGTCTGGCTTACTTGGATCCAGTGACTCTTCCCTTTCACACACACCGACACCACACCAGTCATTTCATTTGTATGAGTAAAAAGCCCAGATCACCGTTTATTCTGTCCACAAGTCCCACAAGACAAAGAGCACAGATCCATGGATAGAGGGACAGGCCCATCCATGCTGCGAATGGGTTTTCTTCTTGTTCAGAGCATCTTTAATACGAACTCAGACACACTGGCTTCCCCATGCCCACGAGATGGACTTCCTCAGGACTGGGAGGCAGGACGAGGCTGCTGCTTACACAGAATCCCACAGAATAGTCCCTGACGAGGTGGGCAGCCAGGGACTAGCCTGCTATGGGTTGAATTGTGTCCCACTCTCACAAATTCATATATTGAAGTCCTAACCCCCTAGGACCTCAAAATGTGTGACTGTATTTGGAGACAGGCCGGTTAAGAAGGTAATTAAGGTAAAATGAGGTCACTCATGTGGGCCCTGATTTACTATGGCTGCTGTCCTTATAAGAAGGGGAGATGAGGACACAAATACACTGGAAGGAGATGCCATCTACAAGCCAAGGAGAGAGGCCTTGGGAGAAACCAATTCTGCCCACAGCTTGATCTTAGATTTCCAGCCTGGAGTCCATGGTACTTTGTGATGATGGCCAGAGCAGACCAACAGCCTTTCCAGACAAAAGTCTTAAGAGACTGCTGATTGTGCTTGGGATTAGGGGGGCCTGTGTTGGTATTGTTTACCTTATCCCCCCAGGGCCTAGCCCGGGGCCTGGCCTACAGGATACTCAATTCATTGTGTTTGTGAAATCAGTGAAAGACTCAGGATGAACCTTCCTGGGACTGAAACTTTCCATGTGGCCTCACTCTGCTAGACAGCCTTCCCTGGGTGGTAGCCAAGAATCTTGCTCTGTTCCAAAAAGCTATAAATGCATAGCAGTAGTAACCTGTCAATGATTATAAGCCCAGGAGAAGAGGGGAGGTGGGAACAAACACTTTATTTTGTTTTCTTTCAGCCCTCAGCGCAATTGCCTTAGCTAGGTCAAGGCTTGTGATTTCTTTTTAGGAACGTAACTATGGTATCGTTCCACCATGGCTAGTACAACAAATCCATGTTTAGTAATATTAGTGACATTCAAGAATTTTTCTCTCAGGTACTCATCACTCTAGCACTGGTCCCATTTTATCCCTCCCAACTTCTGTCAGTGGTTCCTCCATTCTCCCATGGCTCAGGCTCAAACCCTCAGAGTCATACTTGTTTCTTGTTTATTCTTGAATCTCTAAATCCAATCAGTAACAAAATCTTCTTCCTTTTTCCTTCCCCGTGCCTCTAACTTCTTCAGGTCCCTCAACATTACAACTCGCCTCCTGCTTCACAACATGGGAATCCTCAATGATTCCCCCTGCCTCTAAATTTGTCACTTCACTGTGTGATGTTTTTTCTGCAAACCCCACCTGTGTCAAGCCTCAGAAACTCTTTCCTGGGGCCCTGGGTCAAGAATAACGAAGGCGTATCTTAGTCACTTTATACCTGGAAGCCATGGCTAAGAAGTTTTTAGAAGGAGGGAAAATGAGAGGCCAGGACAAATTGCTAGAAATATTGGCTACATTCATCTACAGCCAATGGGGCTCTTCTAGAATCAGAAAGCCCATTTCCAGCTGCTACTCTGCAAAATACACACAACCAGCTTCACCTTAGGTTGTTGGACACAAGAACTCAGCTTTCAGAACATGCCAGAGTTCACAGGTAAACAGTTAATAATCTTCCCTGCTCATTTATTTTTGCAGGGATTGTCATAAGATGGGGCAGGGTTGGGGAGACAGGTGGCATGTGCAGGCCAGAGGGACATGGGGAGAGAAGGAGGCTGCTCCCAGGAACACAGAGTCACCGCCAAGACCTCCAACCTTCACCCTGCATGGTTCAGTGGCTTGCAGGCTGAGAGCAGGAAAGCGACATCTGGGATTCAGCACATATGAGACACTTGACCTCTCAGCTTCACGCCTCAACAGGCTCAGTGTGGGGCTGAGGCCAGAGAAGCAGAGCAGCACGTACAGTGCAGGCGAATGTTGACAGAAGAAATATTCATATGTTCTTCTCTGGATGCAAACTACAAATAGCCTACCCTCCAACAGAAGGTCTTGTGGTAGATTTCCTGCTTATATTAATGTTTAAAACAAATTAGTCTGTTTGGTTGGGTTAGCCATGGAAGGATGAGTTCCTGGACAACACTGGTACAGTATAACCATCCTCCTCTGCTTTGGGTTTTTAATGAGAAACCATGGCCACGTGTGTGCCATGGGAGTTTCTGAAGCTGAGAGTCCTATAATGGCCAGCGATTGACCCTGACTCTGGGCCTAGGATCTCCATGCTTGGCATGCAGAGGTGTTTTGGAATGAATAAGGGACTTACGGAAAACAGAACTTGTTTTCTTTATTAATCGTCACAAGTGTAGGTAGAGACAAACCAGCCCTGGCATGTCCACCCAAACTCCTGCATCCTGGATTTACTTCCTTACTCTGCTGTCACTTCGATCCCTAACACAGTAAAGCTTTGAATACTCTGTCCCTGGGATATCTACTACTTTTGAGTTCCAAAAGCTGACGCTATGGGGAAAAGTGCAGAAAGACATCCCCAAAGGGATCTGGATCGGTTCATCCAAGAAGAAGGATACGGAGCTCTTCTGATTCAGGGTCAATTCCATTTCCTTGTCTGTCAAATGGAAAAATATTCTGTTTACCCTCTAGCATCCCTTCTAGCATACAGATCTACGATATTAAAATATTGCTCTTTTCAGGCCTAGGCATAGGGTAAGACGAAACTAACCCACAGCAGAAGGTTATGAGAAGGCTAGCGATACTCTCTTCAGGGAAGTAGGTCTAGTTATTAAAAAACCATATTCAGAAACATAGTAAACTACCAATGCTAACAAATATTAACATTGCTTTATTTAGTCAATTAATTACTTATTTTAATTCAGTATGATGATCACTTACACAAAATGTGTGTGTTGGGGACAGTAGCATGCTGATAAACTGGCTCTTTAGAGAAACAAACGAAGCCCTGAACTGTAGTGTTTGCAGATTTTCATGGTGTAAATAGTCCTACTGTAGCTAGTTGCAAGGTATGAACCTGATGTCACTGGATCCCTTGACAGGGAACTGGGAACATGTGTACAATTGGCTCTCGAGGGCCAGCTCAGGATCCAACACACCCCTAGTTGGGTACAGTCTGAGCAATGTCAAGATTTGTTGAAATCAGCTTAAATTCCTATATTACGATTTTATTTTCTCCTTTCACTATTTGTGACAGGAAGACCTAGTCTGACACATATTTTGAGACTCAACTCCTATCAGTGGAGAGTAAGCAGTAAAATCACTTCAAACCAGAATGGAGTCCAGCCATCTGGCCCTTCTCCTGCAGGGCAGAAAATCATGGTGGTAAGCAGACCTTTAAGCTCTCCTCACTACAAGCCACTTGACCGCCTAACTGCTGTGGTGGCCTGTGCTGGCAGCAGCCCCATTTCCATCACACACTTACTGAGCTATATGCCAGTTACCCAGCTCAACCCACAGCCCATGACACGTATTCAATAAATGTTAATCAAATACAAATTCATTCTCTAACAAGGTCTTGAATGCCCATCATTAAAACACTGTAGTTTCTGTTCTAATGAAAGTCAAGTAGATCCAACAGACTGCTGGTCAGCTGAGTGGAGAAAGAAAGTAATGGGCGATGTCCGGAAGGATAAACACCATCCTCTCTAACAATGGCCAGACTCATTCTGCTGACATAAGGGAAGATGAAATTAACCCACAGCAGAAGGTTCTGGGAAGGCTAAAGGTACTCTTTTCAGGGAAGGTAACTCTAGTGATTTAAAAACACATTCAGAAACATCATTATCTCTACTGACAAGCAGTGGTCCTGGGGAACCTACCTAGACTAGAAGCTGTAAGGCCCATTATCCTTGTACAAATTCGTTTCCTCATCGTTTTTTTGTGTTTTTTTTTTTTTTTTTTTTTTTTTTTGAGACAGAGTTTCGCTCTTGTCACCCAGGCTGGAGTGCAATGGTGAAATCTCAGCTCACTGCAACCTCCACCTCCCAGGTTCAAGCGATTCTCCTGCCTCAGCCTCCTAAGTAGCTGGGATTACAGGTGCATGCCACTATGCCCAGCAAGTTTTTGTATTTTTAATAGAGACGAGGTTTCACCATGTTGGCCAGGCTGGTCTCAAACTCTTGACCTCAGGTGATTCACCAGCCTCAGCCCCCCAAAGTGCTGAGATTACAGCGTGAGCCACCACACCTGGCCAGTTTCCTCCTCTTTAAAACAAGGACATCAATGCCTATTTGTGCAGATTCAGTGAAACAGCATACACCGTGCCTAGCCCTAGGTCAAGGACACGAAGGTTTAGTAAATGGCAGATGTTATGATGACTATTACATTCATGTAAGTCTCCACATCCCTTTTTTCTATCTTCTCATACCTTCATATTGACTCCCTGCTGGTAAAAACGCATCTCTAAGCCCTATCAAAAATATTGATCTGCTGCCCCCTTTCTGAGGTGTCTGGGAATTGTTTTGTGTTACGGTTCCAAGCTGCTTGAACTGTAGGCAATAAGTAAAATCTTCCTTGGCTGGTGGGACATTCTGTAGGGTCACAATTTCAGCATTTTGCCTTGTGGACTGTGCTAGATAGGACAATGGCCCCCTAAAGATGTCTACATCCTAATCCCTAGAACCTATGACTGTGTTACCTTACATGGCAAAAGAGACTTTATTGATGCAATTAACTTAAGGATTTTAGATGGGGAGATTATTCTGCATTAACTGGGTGAGCCCAGTTTAATCTGCAGGGTCCTGTGAGAAGGGGACATGAGGGTCAGGATCAGAGAAGAAGATTGGATGATGGAAGCAGAGGTGGGGTGATGAGGCCAGGAGTCGGGGAGGGCTGGCAGCCTCTAGAAATTGAAAAAGGCAAGGAATGGAATGTCCCCTAGAGCCTCCAGAAGCATCCAGCCTCACTGGCTTGCTGGCACCTTGACTTTGGTCCAGTGAGACAGATTTTTGACTTCTGTCGTCAGAACTGTAAGATAACAAATTGTTTTAAGCCACTAAGTTTGTGATAATTTATAATAGAAGGAATAGGAAATTAATACAAAGGCAAATAATAAAACACGGGTCATGAGTCCCAGAAGGGGAGCAATCCTTCCTCTCCAAACCCCATATGTGAGAGGAAAGGACACAGTCTCCTTGGTCTATGACCGTGTCACTTCCTCAGGTGAGACACTTTTACAGCAGGAAAGTACGGGTCACCAACCAGTCCTCAAACCTTTCAATATTATAGCTTAAGTCAGGGATAGGAAAGGAAGAAAGTTAAGTGTGCAAAAAGCTGTAAGCCATCAGTATTGTGGAAGTCAGGTGATTACATGTATATACACATAAATACATTACATACACTTAGATATACATAAAATATATAAAGGTTATATACTTATATATACTTTAGAGTGGCATATATACTTCTATATATACATAGTATATATAGTATATATACTTCTACATATACATAGTATACATAGTATATATATAGTATATAGAAGTATATAAATATATATAAGTGTATACGTGGTATATACTTACATATACTTATATACTTCTATATACTTTCTATATATACTTTAAGTATATACTTTATATATACTTTATAATATATATACTTCACGTATATATACACTATATATAAAGTATGTATAATATGCATAGTATATTTTATATTATACATATTATACATACTTTATTATATTATATATTTTATAATGTATATATTATATAATATGTACACAATATGCATATTCAATTATATATAATAAAGTAATAATATATTATAATATATAAGATATTTTTATAATGTATATAATATATAATACATATTATTTTAATGCATATAATATAATATATAATTATAATATATGATATATAACATCACAATGTATAGAGTATGTAACATATATTATTATAATATATATAGTATATATTATTATAATGTATATAATATATAATACATTATTATAATGTATATTATATATTTATTATTATGTATATAATATATAATATTATGATGTACATGATATGTATATTACATATTATATATACATACTTTATAATATATAAAGTATGTATAATATGTATACCTTATAATACATGCTATATATACTTTATATAAAGTACATATACTTCATAATATATGTACTATTTATACTTTATCATATATAATATCATATATAAATTATATACATTATACTTTACATATATACTTTATGTATACATATACTTTATATACATATATACAGTATATATATTTCAAGTATGTATAATTAGGTGTAAATATACTTTATAATATATATTATACTTTACAGATATACTTTATATATACATATTTTTATATACATAAATACTTCAAATATATGTATATATAAAGTATATACTTTAAATATATAAATACATAAAAAGTGTGTGTGTACATATACGTATGTATATAAAGTGTATATATATATAAACTGTATGTGTACACACACACACACATACACACACTTATGTTAAAAGTTCAGAG
The DNA here is from genome assembly GCF_000001405.40 of Homo sapiens. Taxonomy (NCBI): domain Eukaryota; kingdom Metazoa; phylum Chordata; class Mammalia; order Primates; family Hominidae; genus Homo; species Homo sapiens. The sequence goes on along the minus strand of NC_000006.12, from coordinate 11,616,676 downwards.
TAATGACACTGTGAGTGGATGAAGAAAGCTAAGTAAGTGATTTTCCAAACAGATACTGAAGAGGAATTAGAAAACAAATGACCTCAACTGAATTATGGCCTCATTTTTGAGGAATGAACTGTAGGCCCTGAATTGTAGTGTTCAGGAATGAAAGCTCCGGCTTAGAGTGCATAAGGAATTCTGTGAAACCACTGGAAACCATTTGGTAAGAAATAACCCCTCCTGGCAGCAGGACTCAGGCTCTTTCATGACCTCACCGGGAGTGTAGCGTGAGTTCCTGTGATCCCAACTGGCCCTACCCACCGTGTTTGAGCCACATTTGTAAACTCCAGAAGGACATGGGGCATCTGAGGGTACCCTGCAGCTTTCATGAGGCTTGAGCTGTGGAGAAAAATGATGACAGCAGAAATGAGAGCCAGGGGAGCTGGCCATCCGGCCAACACCCTGCACTCTGTGGGGCTCATGTTGACTCACTTTGCAAAAGGCCCTCTGCACCCATCTCTTTTTTTTTTTTTTTTTTTTTTTTTTTTTTTTTTTTTTTTTTTGAGACGGAGTCTCGCTCTGTCGCCCAGGCTGGAGTGCAGTGGCGCGATCTCGGCTCACTGCAAGCTCCGCCTCCTGTGCACCCATCTCTTTAAGAAAAATGCTTCTCAGATCGAGCTGCCAATAGACTTAAAATGGAAGGCCTTTCAAAGGGCTCCTTCTAATTTTTGTTTTCATTGTCCTAGCTTAGGAAGTATGTAGAAAAACAATCATTAAGGATGATCTCCCTGGTGTGTTTGTGTGTGTGTGTGTGTGTGTGTATATAATGCAAATATAAGCATAGTATTTTTGGTGGGATACCCGTGAAATTGGTTAACAGTGGATAATTTTGAAGGTAGGATTAGAAAAGTTGCAAGAGGACCTAAACTTATTTATTCATGTGTTTTTAAGTGGAGATATTAAGCATGTTTTTTTCTTTTATGTGAATTGTTTCAGCTATTTTTTCCCCAAATACTTTTTTTTTCTAAATAAAAGAACCTTTTCCTTTTGGCTGAAAAGAGGTAATATCACAGAGCAGAAAACAGAAAAGCTCTGATTGTACCCATTGAATTTCCAAAGTAAGTTCTTTCTTCTTACAACCAAACAGTCCTGGGCCAGTGAATGGCTAATCTACCTCCCAGATATGCAGGGTGGTATGGTTTCATTTCAGGGCTTCTCTAACTAAAATGTGCAAATGAATCACCCCAGGATCTTGTTACAAGGATCTTATTCAGGCTCCTATTCCCTGTATCTAGGGTGGGGCATTTCTAACAAGCTCCAGAGGGATGCTAATGCTGCCGGTCTATGGACCACATGGTGACACCTGTTGGACGAGGTATCCAGCATGAATACCATGCTTTCCAGTTTAGCCGTCAGAACATAGAAGCCCTGCAATTATGCGAACCTCAGGCCGGTAAGTCAGAAGCTTCCAAGGTCAGCCCAAGATCACACAGTGACCTCCAAAACCAGAGTGGATAACTGATGGGCATGGTCCTAGGCCCACTGAGGCTGGAGGCAGTTCCACTTTGAAGCCCACTAATCCCGCACTAGAATACCGAGGGAAGTGCTACCACGGGAACAAACTATCTATGTTTCCCCCTCAGATCCCTGCTTCTTTACTGTTTTTTGCTATAAATGGAAAGGTTTTCTTTGGGAGATCCCCAGGGACCTGACATGGGCTCTTGTTGCGGTTACTGCTGTTATCGCTGATATTACAGTAAGGGCTATGATGCCAATAAGCTAGATAGAATGCTTGTTCCAAATACCAGGACATTCAATTCTTTGTGATTACCCTTCAAGGAGAGTCTCTGGTATTTTGAAGCTGGCACACTTATTAAAAAATTAAATAACAGGTGGTCAGCCAGAACCCAAGGGCATTTCCCACCCTGAACTGTGCATGCCAAAACTAACCAAACAGCCTGGTTGTGTTTTCCTTTTCTATTACCGGCATGCGAACAATGCAATCGTCGTCGTTTATGCTGGAGATATGGTGTCACCCTTAACCAAGACAAAGGATCAAAACAGGCTTTGTTCTAGGACTCTCTGTTCTATGGCCAGAGAGTTCTTGTAGGATTTGTACTTGCTGATCCTTGGAGTGCAAATGGGATTTCTTTAAGTCCCCAGTAGACTTATTCCTGTAACCAAGATTTTAATAAGGACTTTTCCCCCACCCACCAATGTTGCCTGTGCCACTGCTTCTCTGCAATTTCAGCTATAAAATGGTTTTTTTTTTGTGGGGAAGGTGATTTCCTTCTTGCTGAGACTAACAGAGGGCAATCTCTACCTCCATACGTCTCTGGGCTTCTTACTAGTTTCTTAGGCCCAACCGGAGATTCCATTTCATAGAATCAGATTTTTAACAGATTTTGGAAATTATTCGGTACAGTCTCTCCAAATTGCAGATGAGAAACTCATGGCCAAGAAGAATGAAGTGTTCAAAGTCACTCAGCCAATTTGTGGCAGAACCAGAGCAAAAATTCTGTCTTCTGACCCCCAAGCCCATGCTGGGCCCACAGCACTCCAGCTGCCCTGGGATCGTGGCTGACATCAATGGGTTTCCCATCCTATACAGGAAAAGTGGCATTCCAAAACTTCCTTCAAAATGAAATCTAGCCACAGTTCGCAGACATAATCTTGTGAGTCACTCACTGAGAATCTGAATATCTAAACAGTATCTAAGTAGCTAAATATCACCAGATTACGAGCCAGAAAACCTCACTGGAACTGAGTTGGCTTTACACTTAACATTGGGTACGTACTTGGATGGTTCAGGATTTCCTGGGTCATATTTTCCTAATATATAAAATGGTGCTAGCAATAGGTCCTCACCTGCCTTGCAGGGTAATTAGGAAGATAATTTGAAAGGAAGTTTTATTTTAATAGTCATGGCATAAATGAATTTGATACCCACACACCTAGGTTTGATTCCTGCTCCGTAAATTACTGGCAGCAGGCTCTGGAAAAATCCTTTAACCACTCTAGCCAATTGTTTTCACATCTTTGAAAATGAGGCAAAGACATCCATCTCATAACTTTGTAGAGGATTAAAATGAGATGGGTATGAAATCAGGTGTATGACACAGTTTCTGGTAAGTGGTAAGCATCCACTGATGAACTGCACATTCTAGCTTCATCACTTCCTTTGTGTATCTGGTTTTCCCCAACTAGACTTCAACTTCCACACAGATTTGTTTCCTTGAAGTGAAAGGCTAACACTCAAGACATGCTTCCAGTTTACTTCCAAAGCAGAAGAAAACATGATGCTAGTCCTTAAGGAGTTCTTACTTCCTACAGAAAAACAAGATGAGCTAACATATTGAGCATTTTGCAAGCATTATCTCATTTAATTCTGATGGCATCTCTATCATGTATACTGTATTTGAAGCTCATTTTACAGTCGACAATATGTAGGCACCAAGAGATTAAGTACCTTACCCAAGACCACAAATCCACTACGTGGCAGAGCTGGCCCTCAGAACTCTTCCAGTTTTGCCCCAGGTTTGTAGACTCATCTCCTGTTCTTGCCCTAGCATTCTGATCTCTCATCATGTCTTCCAAGGTCATTTTAGCAAGGAACTCTGTTTCATGTTTCCTGATGGATTTTTTTTCTAACCACGTGTGTTCATTTGCTAGGGCTTCCATAACAAAGTACCACAGACTGCGGGGCTTAAACAATAGAAATGTGTTCTTTCACAGCCCTGGAGCCCAGAAGTTCGAGATCCAGGTGTGAGCAGGGTTGGTTTCTCCTGAGGCCTCTCTCCTTGGTTTGCAGATGGCATCTTCCCCTGTGCGCTCCTATGATCTTCCCTCTGTGCACGTCTATGTCCTCATCTCATCTTCATAGAAGGACACCAGTTATATTGAATTAGTGCCCACCCTCATGACTTTACTTTTTAACTTCATTACTTCTATAAAGTCCCTATCTCCAAATACAGTCACACTCTTGAGAGTTTGGACTCCTGAGGGTTTGGACTTCAACATATTAATTTTGAGGGACATAATTCAGCCATAACACTGTGATTTCCATCACAAATGTGTGTCTCCTCCTAAACAAATTCTGAAGTCCTAGCATCCAGAAACGATGGAGAAAGGGAGGGGAAGGGCAGGCGGCATAGCCTCTGCTGAGGAAAGTACACACATTTCTCATGAAACATTTTTCAGTGGCCCCTTCAGCTCCCTTGAATAACCTGACTACTTCATCATTCCCACACCCTCTGTATTCTCCAGTAAGCCCTTTACACAGGTTTCTCTTGTCAGGGCCACCACGTCCCCACTTTAATTCTCATCTTGGTATGCTTCTGGGGGAATCCAAAAAAAGACAATTGCTAAAATGAAATCCTAAGTAGAGGTGATGTGAGCACTAGTAGACATAAGCTACACAAATCTCCAAGATTAAGCCTAACGACCATGTGATGTGTTTCTGCCAAAATTTCTATTTATCACCAGCACAGCAAGCTCTGTATTCATGAGACCCAGTGCAAATGAAAACTGTTTAAAAGTGGGGGAAGAAACTATTGTCAAAGGTACTATAAAATAAAGCTTTTTTCCTTCCTTCTGCAGTGTCTCAATTTATCATGATGTTAAAAAAAAAAATCTGCTGTTTAGTGTTGTTCTAAGTCAAGAAAAATTAAAATTTTAAATTATTAGCATGAATTTTATGGTTCATCTTTACATTGTACAATGTCAGTTTTAAATGCAAATATGGGCCAGGTGCGATGGCCAACACCTGTAATCCCAGCACTTTGGAAAGCCGAGGCAGGTGGATCACCTGAGGTCAGGAGTTTGAGACCATCCTGTGCAACATGGTGAAACCCCCATCTCTACTAAAAATACAAAAATTAGCCAGGCGTGGTGGCGTGTGCCTATAATCCCAAGCTACTCACTCTGAAGGCTGAAGCACGAGAATCACTGGAACCCCAGAGGCGGAGGTTGCAGTGAGCTGAGATCGTGCCACTGTACTGCAGCCTGGGTGACAGTGCAAGACTTCATCTCAAAAAAAGATAAAAAAATTAAAAATAAATAAATAAATAAATGCAAATATGAGAGTATTTAACTCATCTGCAGAATCACTGGAATTATGTAATTCATATTTTTCAGCTTATACATGAATATATATTTTTTTTCTTGCCAGAACAGTGGAAATACTGCACAAAACTAACTCAACTCTTTTTATTTATTTATTTATTTATTTTATTTTATTTTTTTTGAGATGGAGTCTCAGTCTGTCACCCAGGCTGGAGTGCAGTGGCGCAGTCTTGGCTCACTGCACCGTCCGCCTCCCGGGTTCAAGTGATTCTCCTGCCTCAGCCTTCCGAGTAGCTGGGGTTACAGGTGTGCACCACCACACCTGGCTAATTTTTGTATTTTTAGTAGAGACGGGGTTTCACTATGTTGGTCAGGCTAGTCTCGAACTCCTGATCTCAGGTGACCTGCCTACCTTGGCCTCCCAAAGTGCTGGGATTACAGGCGTGAGCCACCACACCCAGCCTTTTATTTTACTTCTTGATATGCACAAACTCTATCAAATCTTAACGCTCAGCTGCCCTTTTTTCCTTTTGGTCTATGTCTTCATTTTCAGAGGAAGTATATGGTTAATTCAGGGAAGTGCATGAGTAAGAAAGAACAGAATAGGGTCCGTTGGTCGTTAGTATTTGTTATTAATAGAATGCCATTGCCTTCTTTCTTGTGTCAAAGCAAGTTCTGCTTCAAATGGAAAATGTGCCCTCTTGGAGCTGTCAGTGTCCCTCCTCCTTCCTCACCTCACCTTCCTTGGTTGTCCATGCTTACCTTGTATTTGCTTTGAGTCTCCCCTGAATCCCCACACGTGGTGGGTCCACTGGAATTCTGTGTCCAGGGGGCATCGCGAACACTGTATGTGAATGAGCAGCAAGGATCAATGGACATGCATGTTGCATGTCACTACTCAGCTCACATGCATGCTCCGTTTTCATGTTGGAGTACACCTGCAAGATCCGAGTTCAAAGGTATTAAGGATTCATTAAGGATTAATAATTTATTAATCCTTATTAAAGATTTTACCATGGCAACAGCAGAATGTTAAACCGGATATGAGATGCTTGTGAGTTCAGGGCCCTGGGTAGGTCACTCAACTGTGATGCTAACTTTGATCACAGAGAAAGGGAGGCCATGGCATGTTGAACACCCCTAAGTGGGAATCACGCTTCTGCATTACAACCAGAGGCAAGGCACTGAACTCTCTAGTCATCAGAGTCCTTATAAGATGAATGTCTTGTACATGATAATCATGAAGGTATTATTTCTAAACACTTTATCATTCAACCAAGGTGAGAGGGCTTCTTGAAGTTCTTTATTATGTTCAAGCAGGTCTCGTTTAAAACCAAGAGTGAATTTAAAGAACACAACTGTCCCTTTGTTTGGGATTCCCCTGCACTCACTAATATCATTTAGATAAGTTAAAAAAAAATCCTGATAGCTTTTGAATATTTTTGGCAAGAGCAAAATTTTTTCTAGATGGCCAGAAAAATTCCATGATTATTTTTTTTTCTCTTAAATGCAGGGGGCTTTGCAGGCTTCTAATTTTTAAGCCTGAGTGCATCTGCAGACACACATAGACACACGCACGCCCTTGGTTTCCCCTCTGGCCCACACCAGCGTGGCATGGCCCAGACAGCTGCGGTTTGTTGTGTTCGCTGGTTTCCAGCTGTGGTCCTTGCACCTGTCCTCACCCGTGTTTTGTACATTCTGGAATGTCTGCTGGTTTTCCTTATCAGACGCGTGGAAGAACATAAACATGTCACCTCTTCCTAACAAGACTTCCAGAGTGTGTGTGTGTGTGCGTGTATTTGTGGGACTTCCTAGAAACCAGGGCTGTTTTCTCTTGCCAGGCGCCACAGCAGGCCTTCCTGTGCAGGAGGTCATTTCAATAAGGACTCTCGGAGCTTAGTAAGCAGAGAAAAGAAGGTCATTCCCAGACAGGATGTTGGGAAGACGCCCGGCATGAGCCTTGCTGGGCAAGAGACGCCAACCGGACCAAGAATGTGGGCCAGTCCCCCAGGAAGTTATTCATGAGCCTGCACTGTATGATAAACAGGCAACCAAAGCCTTTTCTAAACAACTAAAATAACAATGCTCCAAATTCCAGAAAATCCTCAAACAATGACTGGACATTCCTTATCCCCTATTTGCTTATTTGTTCACCAAGTACTTTCAAAGAAACCAGAAACTGAAGTTCTGACTTGGGTTTCAGAGCAGGAATAAAGTGTGAGAAGATGTGCTGGCCACGCCGCACTCCCTGGGGACATTCTTCCTTTCAGGGGAGTCTCCCCTTGCCACGCCAGCCCAGCCTTCCAGAACCCTTGTCACTCCCAGTGGCAGTTGAAGGCTGAAAGCCAGCATGGACTAGCTTTAAGACAGGTCAGCAGGATGGGGCCGAAAACAGGGAGAAGCTTCTATGGTTTACGGGATCAAAAGATGTAAATTGGTCAGGTTAGAAAATTATTCCTGAATAAGCAAAAAAACTATTCGGGGAGCTGGAAATGTGCTATATATCTACATGACTTGAAAGAGATATCAAAATTCCTTGAGGGCATGTATTGTTTAAATTGTAATATACATTCACTTGCTACACAATGACACTTCAGTCAAAGGCAGATGCATATACAATGGTGGTCCTGTAAGATGATAGTATTTTTACTGTACTTTTGTATGTTTAGCTACACAGATACTTACCATTGCATCCCAGTGGTTTATAGTATTCAGTACAGTACCATGGGGTCCAGGTTTGCAGCCTAGGAATGATAGGGTCTACCGTATAGTGTAAGTGTGTAGTGGGCTATGCCACCTCGGTTTGTGTAACTCTGATGGTCACACAACGATGAAATAACCTAATGAAGCATTTCTCAGAAGAGATCCTCATTGTTAAGCAGCACATAACTGTGTATGTATAATAGTATGATTATATGTGTGTGTACACATATATAATGTATACATAATTTGCATAATTATGAAATAATATTCTGTACACATATATAATGTATACATAATAATTTACATAATTATGAAATAATATTCTGAGTATCATTTTATAGATATAAATGTCTACAGAATCTAAGTCTGCAAGTAGTAAGATGACGGGTGGATATATGCACATATATCTTCTAACACTTGTTTATAGGTAAGACCCATTCTTCATTGGAAGAAATAGAAACTCTTGTCATTTTTCTCACTGGTTCAGTAAAATTGCACTTGGAAACTTCAATGCAATCTTCTCTCTACTGTCCCGGCTGCAGGCCAGAACACCCAGTTTCTTCTTTTTTGCTGTGGGGCTTAAGACTCTAATGTATGCGGTTTATCTATTCTTTACTGTTGGCAATCTGTATCCCACACTCCCCTCTCCCTTATAATGAGAGCTTTGAAGGGAACAATTTTTTGTTGTTTCCTTGTTCCCCAAGTACACAAAGCAGTGACTGGCACATACTAGACACTCAAAATTAATTTTGAATGAATAAATGCATCTAGCCTCACTTCCAAAATTCAAAAACACCAGATATTTACCAGACACCAGTGAATACTTCTGATTAATGTGGACCTAAATGGAAGACTGGATTGGTATTAACATGGTACTTTCTGGAGAATAGAAAACTCAAACCCACAAACATACAATTAGGATTTGACAAAAGGGCCATCACGGGTGTCAAGAAGGATACATTTTAATGGGACAGACAGAAGAACCTGGACCATCTGGAACAACACACAGAAATGAGCCCCTGCCCACAAGCCCAAGGAATCTCTACCCTTAGACATCCTTGAAGCCAGTGCTCTGAAATGGCCAGTTTCCATCTTGTCTGTTGGTAGAAGAAAGGCTGCAAAGAGAGACTTCAGGATTTTCCCAAGCTCTCTTTTCCCAAGATTCTGTGAATTTCTCCGTCCATCTCCCAGGGGCAGGAATTCACACCACATCAAACCTCCCGACAATGCTGGCAGCGTGGCTGGTGTGAAAGAGACTCTGGACTTGGATCAAGAAGGGATGGAGTAGAGTGAGGCTGAGATCAAAAAGCAGGAAGAACAGCCTGGGGAAAGAGCTGGGGAGGAGCTGGCTCTGCTCTTTGCACTTACACCGGTTTCTACTGGACCAGCTTTAGTTCTGCAGCATTTTCCAGAAAGCCTTTTCCTGGCAACGTTGAGATTATTTCTAAAATAAACACAAACCACTTTGCATCTCTCTCCGTAGGCTGTGATGAACAGAAAGAGGCCTTGGAGAGCCGTGGGACTCAGGAGCTGGAGCCAGGCTTGAGACGGGGTCCAGAAGGAGCAAGATGGGATGCCTTTGGACTGAGACCTTAAATTCCACCCAGTTTATTACAACCATGCTCACTCCTCTACCTGCCCTGCCCCAATCGGTGCAAACTGCCTTCTCCAGTCTTGCTTCCTCTCTAATCCATAGGTTGTCTCTGTTTTAAGAAGGCAAGTGGCCAGTGAGAGCCTTAAACTACCTTAGTGTTCTCTAAATAAGATATGCCTCCATGGAGTTGTAAAAGTGGATCTTTGCATGTCACAAAATCACATATGCATGCCAGGGCCCTTTTTGCCATGGTGGGGAGTGGAGGGATGCAGTGAGACATGCTATATATTTCTTGTCTTTAAGACAACAATCTTGTTAAGAATGAAGACCAATTCTAATTGAATCCTAAATTCCTTTCCTTACCAACTGCAACAAGAGATGCCAATGCAAATCTATTTCTAGACTGAGATAGCTTCAAATTAAATTTGGAATAAAATTTCAGGAGAAGGGTCATTTCTGGCTTTCAAAGGCAAACCCAGAATCAGGCAGCCCCACTTCCTGTTAGGGTCACTTTCCCCTCTGAAAATGAATGATACATGGAGGCAGGGAGATGACAGGTGTTTAAAATTTAAACCATGTTGCCTGGGGTGGGTGCCGATCCTGGCATGCCGCCCTGGCACCCACATGATAATGAGGTGCTTGGCTGGAATCTCTGGCTGAGGGCTTTTGTTGGAAAAGGTAGCAGGCAAGCCCAAATAGCTCCCCAACAGATATAATGGCTTAATTATTACTTTAATCAGTAAGGCCGAGGTTCCTTAAAGGGCAGCTTCCTTCCCTTAGTTTTTTTCATCCCACTGGCTGCACTCACAGCTGACTGTTCTGAGCACGGTCCTGTAACGAGAGGGCACATGGCCAACTGGATCTTAAACCAGCTTTGTGCACTGTAAACAAGATGTACTCTAATTATAAAAGAGGGTAAATGGAAGAGCCCAACAGGCGGAGGAAATTGAACATGGGTACAGAGTCGGTTGACTCAGAGGTTAACTACCCATTGAAATGGAGTCTAAAATGAGAAGCGACCTTTCTTCAGCACGGTTTTCATTCCATGCTTGATCCACAAAGGAACAGATACTCCACAAGATAAAGGCACCCGTGGCTAGCGGACAGCCTTGACTTGGTTCGTTGGATTTTCACAAGCTTGCCAAAAAAAAACAAGGGGGTGGGCGAGGAGCATCTGCTTTTTACAAAGAGACTGAAATGTAAAATTAATGTTCCAGGTCTTGTTTTAGAAACATGCACCTCAGAGCAGCTAGGCTGCACTGTTTCTGTCTGAAAGGTTAGGATGGCTCATTTCAACGACCCATCCCACCCTCCCACCCTGCCCCACCTGCCTGCATTCAGCTCAGGGCAGCTTCTAAATAAGCCTCTTTGTACAAAGCCAGCGTGCCTTGCTTGCTCTGGGAAAAACTTGATAGTAGTGGCTTCCCTCCTCTCTGCCCAATCGCATTTCTGGAAAATGGATTTTCAGGTTTCAGTTTCACCCAACTCTACCCAGGGCTTGTTTTCCTGGAAGGTTCAAGTTTTCTTTGCAGATTTTTCCTGGGAGGCCTCAACTCTTTCCCCAGTCCTGATAGCTTTAAATTCTATTTTCAACCTTTGCACACGATAACCCTTTTTGTTCTCTTGGAGCCCTCATGCTGACACAATGCCCTTCCTCCTTTATAATCTGTCTGTCTTTCTATATATTTATCTCCGCAGGAATGTAGCACCAAAGAAAGAAAAGTTAGTAACAGGGTTTACTCCCTGCAGCCTAGTTGGCTGTTTATGTCTCTCTATACGAAGTATTCACCCCAGAAAGGAATGTGTACAGCTCTGGGCATCCCAGAAAACAAGCCATCCCAATGCCAGGTAACTCAGTCAAGCACAGAGGGAACTCATAACAGATATATTTTTCTTCCTTTGTTTTAGAACAAATGATGCCCGTAAGTGCTCAAATGTGAGTGGGGAAAAAGGAGGGTGTTAGAAGAAACAAAATAGTGGTGTTGCAACCGTGTTTTCTTCCTTTCCCAGGGCTCTGTGTGCACCCCACCCTCATGGCAGCCCAGCCAAGAACAGGAGATGATTCTTGACTGAAGGCTCCAAAATGACACCCCTGTTTTTGTTCTTTCCTGGGGTTCTCTGGGGACAGTGGCTGCCTGAATAGCTTCTCCAGTGATCAAGAGGTCCTGTCTGTGGTGTTCTGATGAGTTCTTTGTACTCTGTTTTCTATTCCAAGTTCCTAAAACAAAGGTGATGCATGTTTAACTGAGTATTCAAAAAAAGAAGCTTCTGGAAGCTGATAAAAATTGACTACTGTCAGTTTAGAGGCAGAATCCTTAGTTTGCTGTTTCTTCTTCCTCTTCTTTCTTCTTCTCCTCCTCCTCCCCCTCCTCACCCCCCCTTCCTCCCCCTCCGCTCTTCCTCCCCCACCCTCCTCCCCTTCCCCTCCTCGTCCCCCTCGCCTTCCTCCCCCTACCCCCCTTCTCCTCTCCCCTTCTCCTCCCCCCTCCTCCTTCCCCCTCCTCCTCTCCCCTCCCTCTTCTTCTTCTTTTTTTTGCTATTATATTCTTCCACAGAATCTTTCACATATCTGTGATGAAATTTTGAAAGTCAAGAATGTGTCTAGGGACCCGCGTAATAGTGAAAACCTGCTGATCACGGCCCTCCTGCCTCTAACCATGACAAAATCCACAAAATCGTATGTATGTATGACTTGCCCAAAGCACAAATTCTGATCCGTCTGTCCTCACCCCTTCCATCTCCCTTCCCTCCTTCCCACTTTACCAGCTAGTTTAAGTCATCCTGGTATTACTGCTTTTGCCAGGGGATTAAATTTCTTACTGCAATAAAACCTTCTCTTCCATGCTACCCTGTGAGGAAGCACCCGTCCTAACTCTATGGTCAGCCCCGTACCACCCAGCTGATCTCCTGGAGATAAGCATCAACTCTCTGGTGCTGACAACTTCCTCATCCTTCTATGTCCAGTCCATCAGCCCCAGACAGGGTGCCCTGCACAGTCAGTCCTGCCACCCCAATACTTTAGGTCATTTGGTACCTTGCTCCAACTTAGGAGGGCGACTTCTTGGTTACTCTGTTACTTTTCTCTCTCACCTCATGCCCTGCAATTGTGATCAACTGATAGGTGCTCTGGCCCAGCTTTCCAGGGCATGGCCCTTGTCATGTGTCTCTCCAACTACTCCCTGGTTGGGTCAATCCAAGACTCTGGGAATTCAAGGCCTGGCCATTACCAAGCCTACTAACTTTGTGGATGAGCCAGTGCTCATGGGAACCTGGTTTGAATTCTGATCAGGATAGTTGGACCTCAGCGTTGGTGAAGTCTTTAGGATGGGACTTGAAAGGAACGATCTGAGAAGGAAAACCAGATTCTCCATCACCCTTTTCTCATCTGATCTAAGAGCCTCTGCTCCTAAGATTCCTCTGTAGAAAGGCCCAGTCTTAAGAAGTGACTTTGGTTGGCTGAGAGACCCCAAGAAGTAATCCTCTGTGTTATTTCCAAACGGTAGAACCAAACTCAGGGTCCCAGTCAACCTCGCCTGGCACTGGAAAAAGGATGATTAGCTGATTGGCTGCTGCTGCTGGAACTCACACAGATGTCCTCTGGGTAGCTCAGCATTGCACATGAGCCCAAATAAGTGCAGGGATGAAACAGAGTCAATGCCTTCTGCAGCAGTCATCCCAATGCAGGTGGATTCAGTCAACATGTATCCCATGATGGGTACGTATTTTAAATCACTACAGGAAATGAAAAACCAATAGTCATTGCAGAGATAAAGACAGACATACACAAATAATAAAGGGCAGAGTGTACATTATTAATAATGATGTGTAATTACAGACCCAAATAAAGTGCTGTAGGAGCACAAAGAAGGAAGAAGTGACTTCCATTGGGAGAGAGGAGCAGAAGAGGGTGGGGAAGTGGGCTTTTGTCACCCAGGCCTTGTGAGCAGGATCTCAAAGAAGCAATTCTTACTAAATGAACTAAATGAAAAGTCTTTTGAGTGGCTATTTTTCTTGACTCATAGCTGTTGCTTCAGAACCTCTCCTGTCTTATATAATTACAGATTTTGAGGTATCTTGGAGGAAGGACTCCTAGGCAGGACAAATATTCTAAATATCAAATAACCAGTAAGGCACAGGCAATAGCCATGGAAATGGGCATACTGTGAACAATGGGCACAGCTGGGCTGGTGCACACCCACTGATATCATCCCCACTTCCAGGGGCCATTCGCAGAGGTAACAGATAAAGTCCAAAGAAGAAAGAAAAATAAGGCTAGAATGTACATATAGAGAAAATGAACAAAGCCTGTACATTTGGAAAGAAGCGGGAGTGGGAAGGGCAGGAAGATTAGGAAAGAAGACACAGGAATGATTTCAAGGGTATGAGAAAAATCAAGGCAGAGAAGTGCCACTGCAGCCCGGGAAACACAGTTTGAAAAAGGGGAGGCTAACGTGGCATGGGGAGGGGGAGGATCATGATTGAGGAAACGTCCTTTGGTCCAGGCATCCAGGAAGGCTGAGGTGGAAGAAGTCGGTGAGAGAGAGTGAGGGTGAGGCTTCTGCAGGTGTGGGCTGGGAGTGGACACTCCACCTCCAAGAAGGGTGGCCCTGGGAGGGAGGAGGAAGATGTGCTGGTAGATCAAAGGAAGAAGGAGGCTTGGGTTTTCTTTTTCCAGTGTAGGAGTCTAGGGAGATGTGAGACTATTCATAATCTGTAGCGAGAGAGTCACAGTGCAATGGAAGACACAGGTCATGGGACAAAATCAACGGAGATTGTAGGAGGACCAATGCTCAAGTTCAGGGACAAAGGGGACATTCTCCTGTAAGAGGAAGAGGAAGACATCATTCCTGAAAAGTTAAAGGAGAAAGGGACAGGTAAGAACAGCAAACATTCAGTGTGGTGAGACAGGTTGCAGAGTCCCTCTTGGATGAGTCAGAGGCATTTGCCAAGTAAGGTCAGGTGAGGGGCAGCAGTAGATGTGGCGCTGGGTCTGGCAAGAGTGAAAAAGGTTTGGAAGTCCCTGTCTGGTTAAACAGAAGAGAATGGGAATATACATGGGAGGTCTGGACCACACAGAGCCTTTAAAATAAAAGCACACATGCCCTGAAGGCTCACTAGTTTCTAACAGCTTAACTTTGAGCGTCCAGGGAAGAGTGAACACAATAAGACTAAGACTTTCTGAGAAAAGGAAAAGACTTGTATCCATTCCAAGAGTTGGTCCAACAGCAAAGTCAGACCTCCAGGTTGCTCCCTGCAGGGACAGCCTGCCCACTCCCAACCTTACCTTTGTAACCTGATACCTGTTCCCCCATCTAGCTTTCAACCCTGAGGCCCACGCCCCCGACCCAGGACCCAGCTGTGAGTCTCTTGGAAGTCATGACCCCAGGCATGGCTGGAGCCAGCCTAACAGAAAGGAACAGCAGGAAATTCCCTATATGATGGATAGAATGAGGTGCATGCAGAAAATGTGTTACCACTTTAGAACTTCCTATTTCACTATTAGAAATGTGCCTTTAAGGCCGGGCACGGTGGCTCATGCCTGTAATCCCAGCACTTTGGGAGGCCAAGGCGGGTGGATTGCCTGAGCTCAGGAGTTTGCGACCAGCCCGGGCAACACAGTGAAACCCTGTCTCTACTAAAATACAAAAAATTAGCCAGGCATGGTGGCGGGCACCTGTAATCCCAGCTAATTGGGCAACTGAGGCAGGAGAATCGCTTGAAACCGGGAGGTGGAGGTTGCAGTGAGCCAAGATTGTGCCACTGCACTCCAGCCTGGGTGACAGGGCGAGACTCCGTCTCAAAAAAAAAAAAAAAAAAAAAAGAAAAGAAAGAAATGTGCCTTTAAAATCAAAATGGGAAGAAATAGTAACTAGGTTGAGTGATGGATGGGTTAGCTGGATGGCGGTAATCATTTCACCATGTGTACAGATATCAAAACATCATGTCATACACCCTAAATATATGCAATTATTTGTCAATCATACCTCAATAATGCTGGGGGGAGATATCAAAATGGGAAAAGCAGCACATAAAGAGGGAGGTCAGTTGTGGGCAATTGTGGATTGCCTTGACCCTCTGCCTGTTTCTAAAAATTAGCCAATATCAGCTATCCCAGGGAATGAGAGTGGTGGAAGGTGACTGGGATAGGCCATTTTGGAAAACAGAGTGGAACTGGACAGACTGCTACAGTGAGGACTTCAAGCGACAGGAACACTGAGTACTTGAGATTTTAGGATGAGAGGGAAAAGAAATGGAGATGAAAAGCCTATAAAAAGGAAAGGTAGACGGGAACCAAAACAAAATGAAGCCTTGTATGCTCCATAATTTTACTTGGAGTTGACTTTGTCTGAGGGACAGTGGAGTATTTTGAGAAAGAACCAGTCAGCAGAGAATTTTGCAGAGCCCAGAGTGGGATTAGGTCAGAGTTTATTCCGGCAAAGCAATCCACCCAGGTTCAGCGGAATCAAGTTAGGGAGGTCTGGAAGGAGGACGGGAAAGAAGGAAGAAGAATGGGAAGAAGGGAAGAAGGAGGCGGGAAAGGGCGGGAGGGAGCCATATGGGAATATTTCGAGAATCCAGAGCTGGTTCCACAGACACATTTCAACATGGGAATGCCAGATGCTAGCAATGATTGGATACTGCCTGGTTCAGAAGGATGAGCTGCTGGGCACCTAGGCCCCCCAAAAGTCCACGCAAGCTTGAATATTCTGACTTCTGGCTTAGCCCCCTCCCTTCCTCCCTTCTGAGTATTAGTAACATAACATTCTTTCGATAATTTTTCTTTTAAAGGAGATACTACTCTTACTAAAAGGTCAACCAGCTAAAAATATTTTGCTCGGATTTTCCATGCACTTCTGTTCATGATTTCTTTGCTTCCAGCCTTGCCTGGGAGAAATGACCGAAGCATTTTCCACCCGCAGGGAATCGTTTTCCAGGCATTGGTGCCAATGTTTGTCTTCTCACTCTTCCTTCCCTGCTTTACCCTTTTTGGTCTTATCAGTAACTTTCGGAAGAACCAAATGAAATATTTTATTTTTAAGGAAAGAGTCCAACCTCTCTTTGACATTTTAAGCCAAAGGGCCCGAGTTCCTTTTTAGTAAACCCCTTTACGAGAGCAGAGGCAGGGCCCTGTGTCATGCGGGATGGAAATGGGGGTTTTCCTTGAGGCAGGACCCCAGGTGTGATGGGGCACCTGATGGCCCATGGATAGGAACAGCAGCTGTGCCCCTGGTATAACAATTTGAGGGGTGCCCCAAATGGTACCTGGAATTCCTACTGGCAGAATCACTTTTTTGGGCCAAAACATGGAAGATCTCTACTCAACCTTCTCTTCCTGGAATGCTCTTTCCTCCATTTCTCTACCAGGTGAAATTCTACTCATTCTTGGGATGGAGTCTCACTCTGTTGCCCAGGCTGGAGTGCAGTGGTGCCATCTCGGCTCACTGCAACCTCCGCCTCCTTGGTTCAAGCGATTCTCCTGCCTCAGCCTCCTGAGTAGCTGGGATTATAGGCACATGCCACCACGCCCTACTAATTTTTGTATTTTTAGTAGAGATGGGGTTTCACCATGTTGGTCAGGCTGGTCTCAAACATCTGAACTCGTGATCCACCCACCTTGGCCTCCCAAAGTGCTGGGATTACAGGCGTGAGCCACCGCACCCAGCCCTACTCATTCTGTAGTACACAGCTCAAAGTGTACCTGCTTGGGATTAGTTGTTTTGTTTTCTAGGTTCTCATAGCAGCTGACTCCTACCACCGTCATGGTACTCAACTTATCATTTATCTGCTTGCGTGCCTGTCTTTCCATAGCACACCCTGTCCCCGTGAGACCCTTCCGTGCTTCCAGGTCAGCCTCAGTCTGATTATCTAAGTAAAAATAAGACCTGGAACTTAATGGGTACTGTTAAAGAAAAAATTATGCTGACACTTGTCATTATGGCAAGGAAGACTATATTCAAAACTATTACAATAGGAGAGAGAGATTTAGTTCAACCCCAAATGCAGCAAGGATATGCAGGGATTTACAGCAAGGAACAGAGTGAGGGGGAAAGTGACTAGGAATTACTAAGAGGAGACCTCAGCAGGAGGGAGATTCTGGCTAAACCGACATAGCAGGATTCTTTGCTAAAATTTGTCTGGACAGAACAAGGATTGGGGGGGCCACGGTCAAGGCCTAATGAAAAAGAGGGCTTAGAGGAGCCTAACTAAATTTTGGTCATGGAGCAACTCTTTGTCAGTACCAAAGAGTTTATAAAATGAAAGGATCTATCTCTAAGAAGTAGCTCATTCTTGTCATTTAGCCCTATTCACCTTCTTCTCTCGGTAAACAGTTACTAGCCATGTGACCAAGATTCTTTCTTTGACCAAACTGTAGGAGGATCCTCTGAACTCTCTTCTCAACTATGCCTTGACCTTTGGACTTCCGTGTCAGTCTTTGCATTGCCCAATTTAGCAAGAATCTTGCTAAATCTGTTTAGCCGGAATCTCCCATCCTCGGTATCTCACCAGGTTCCTCGTCTCCACCGTCTCCTAGGTGATATGTGATCACACTGGTCTGTCTTCAGTCAGAATCCTGCTAGGTTACTTTAGCAGAATCTCCTGTTACCTTTGATGTTTTCTCTAGGAATTTTTCGTCCGCTGACCTTGTGTACTAAGAGCTGAGCCCAATCTCTCATGCCCACTGCAAAACCCCCCTGTGGTAGTCTTGATACCTACCTCGATAGTCCTGCTGAATAAAGTCTGCCTTACCATTCTTTAACAAGTGTCAGGAATAATTTTTTCTCGGACATGTTTTGTCACCAACCCTGGCTAGAGAACAAGCTGCATCCCTGGGCATTGCCAGGGGACTGGGAGGGTGGGCCTGGGGGCTGTGCTCTGGACAGGGAACCTGGGGCCATGGGTTCCTGAAGGCCAGGGTGCTGGAGGTAGGGGCTGCTGAAGACCAATCTCACCCCCATCACAATTGTGCCTGAAGCCAACCCTTGCCATCAGGATGCCAAATTCTTCTCTTATCCAATGAAACTTTCAACCTGTTTCTATTTCCTAGTCAAGGAGAGTTTCTTTTTTCTTTTTGCCATTAAAAATATTTTTATTTAAATATTAAAAAGTAGCATGCCTTTTTTGTTTCAAGGTCTTTTGTGTTTTGAGAACATCCTTCAGCCCAAAAGTGGTTCCCATGGGAATTTCTTTTAAGGCTACAAAACCCGAGAATGCAGGAGTGAATGGTAGACAGCAGATGTGCCCAGGGGAGGATGAAAGTAAAAGCTGAGTTCTGCTTGTTTTTAACCTGTTTTTCTCAGGATCGTCTCCTCCCATAAGGAGCTTTGTGTCAACATGATATGACTCTCCACAGAGTTTATAGAACTGGGCAGAGATCATCTGATCTGTCCCTGACATGTCAAAGCTTGGAAGGAAAAAGAAAAAGGAAGGGAAGAAAAGAAAAAGACTGAGATAAAGAGGTAAAGGCATTTGCTGAAGTCCCCAACTGTCTCAAGGGGCAGGACAGGAATTTCCATGTCTCACGAGGGAAACTTACATGCTGTTGGTGGGCATGTAAACTATTACAACCACTATGGAGAACAATATGGAGATTCCTCAAAAAATTAAAAGTAGAACTACCATATGATCCAGTACTCCTACTTCTGGATATATATTCAAAGAATATGAAACTACTATGTCAAAGGCATACCTGCCCTCCCCTGTTTATTGCAGCACTATTCACAATGGCCAAGATATGGAATCAACTTAAGAGTCCATCAATGGATGAATGGATAAAGAAAATGAGGTATATTCACACACAGTGGAATTCTATTCAGCCATATAAAATAATGAAATCCTACCATTTGTGACAACATGGATGAGACTGGAGGATGCTGTGCTGAGTGAAACACAGGAAGGCAAAACACAAGACCTCATTTCTATGGGAAATCCAAAAAGGTCTAACTCATAAAAGCAGAGTGAATGGAGGTTACCAGGGGCTGGGGGGCAGGGGAGAGGCGATTAGGGAGATGTTGGTCAAAACATACAAAACTTCAATTAGAGGAATGAGTTTCAAGAGATCTGATAACATGGTGATTATAGTTAATACACTTGAAATTGCTAAGAAAGTAGATTGTAAGTGTTCTCACCACAAATAAATAAGTACAGTTATGTGCTAAATAACAACGTTTTGTTCGATGATGGACCCCCCCATGACAGTGGTTCCATAAGACTGTCAAAGAGCTGAAAAATTTCTATGGTTTAGTGACATGGGGCAAGGCATTACTGGTGTTTGTGGCGATGCTGATGTAAGCAAATCTGCTGCACTGCCAGTCATGTAACGGTCTACCGCATACAATGATGTATGCTACATAATACTTGATAGTGGAAATAAACAACTCTGCTACTGGCTTATTATGTATGATGCTGTACTTTTTATTATGGTTATAGAGTGTACTCCTACTTATCAAAAAAAGTACACTCTATATTTGCACAAGGACAGAATCTAACAACACATTTCTCAGAAAGTATCTGTGGTTAAGCCACACCTGACTGTAGATGAGTCAATGCATATGTTAATTGGCTTGGTTTCGCCATTGCACAAAGCATACATCTATCAAACCGTGATATTGCACACCATAAATATATATTATTCTTATTTGTCAACTTGAAAAAGGCTTTTTTTTTTTTTTTTGGAAACAGAGTCTCGTTCTGTTATCCAGGCTGGAGTGCAGTGGTGCCATCTTGGCTCACTGCAAGCTCTGCCTCCTGGGTTCACGCCATTCTCCTGCCTCAGCCTCCCGAGTAGCTGGGACTACAGGCGCCCGCCACCACGCCCGGCTAATTTGTTTCTATTTTTAATAGAGACAGGGTTTCACCGTGTTAGCCAGGATGGTCCTGATCCCTGACCTCGTGATCCGCCCACCTCGGCCTCCCAAAGTTCTGGGATTACAGGCATGAGCCACTGCGCCTGGCGTGAAAAAAGGCTTTAAAAAAAAAAAAAAGAAAAAGAAAAAAAAAAAAAGAATCTCCACATCTTAACTCTTGGTCTACTGCAGAGCACTCCCTGACTTACCAGGAGCCGCAAGCTGATACCTTTTCAGATGCCTTTTATATTATGAGTTCACTCATTTGAATTCCAAGGTTCTGAAGACTTGTTGACAAAGGAGTTTTCATGTAAAAATAACCTAGTGGTTGTCTCTGGCAATTGCAGATAAGCTGCTTTAGCTTGCATTTTGCAGAGGAAGGGAAAGGGGCTCTCACTTGTTCCCACCCCATGACGTCGTTCTTACCCATGCACAGTGAGAGGCAGGAACCAAACTTCAGCTCCCCATGGGAAACTCAGGGGGTCTCTCTCAAGGCTCCCGCATTTCCTGACAAGGCAGGCCTGGTGAGGAGGCAGCCACCCCAATACATACTGCAGATTTCAAATAAACTCCAAACTAGAATCACCCGCCTCCCTCAGCTTTTTGACTGTAAACGCCAGCTGGAGCTAACTCAATCTAAGGTTAAATTCAAACTTTGGATATATTACCTTGTGTATTATAAATATATATATAATTTGTATAAATATACTTTAAAAGCCATTCTATATATGTGTGCTATAAATATATGTGTGTATACACTTAGATATTTTGTTTTTATTTGAAATAATTTGAAAGATACAGAAAAGTTGCTGAAATAATACAAAGAACTCTCATATCCTCTTTACCCAGGTGTCAACATTGGGCTACATTTGGCTAATTATTTTCTATAGATAGATACATAGGTAGATATTTTTATTCCCCTAAAGCATTCAGGAGTAGATTACATACATCATTCCTCTTCACTGCTGAATATACCAGTGTTTGCCTGAGAACAAGGGTATCCTCCTACATAACCACAGTATAGTTATCAAATTCAGGAAATTTAGCATTGAGACAATACTGTTATCTAATCTACAGTTTATAAAATATGGTTATAATGTATCCCAAAAGTCTTAGTGCAGAGTAAGCTATTTAACGTTTTTAATACAACAAAGAAAAATGTTTTACTCACAGCTAATTCATGAGAACCTTCCCACCAATTTATAAGAACAAATTATTTGCTCCATATATTATTAATTGATCTAGATATTTTTAGTTTGCTTCTTGGCCTAAAGCCTCTAGACACATCCCTATAAATCCAATAAGGCAATCCCTGTCCTGAAGATACCAAGTTGGTGTGAAGGAGCTGAGATTTTATTATAAGTGCAGGTGATCAGAGGAAGTTCCAGGGGTAAAATACAGCCTTTAAATATCTTAGCCAGATTTGGGCTTCTGGGAAAAATGAGAATTAAAATGTAGGACTAGAAATGCTCTTTATGAAAATTACCCCAGTACTCATAGGAAAAAAAAAAAAAGCATAACTCACAGCCACACCAGGAAACTGACAGCAAGTCTGTAAACCAAGAGCAGGAGCGTGTCTTGTCCCCAGCGCTCTCACTTGGGCAGGGGCAGGGGCCAGGGCCGCTCTCCACTGTGAGTACGTGGGGTGTGTGTGAGTGTGTGTAGTCGTTTTGTAATAATGGAACATTGGTATTGTATCAATACCACTTACCTGTCCTCAGCCACGCTCAGTCTCATCCCCTTTGCTTCATGTCACTGGAACACGCCATTGAATAGATGTCCCATCAGGGCCAGGCTTTCCTCCCCTATCTTTCCTCCCCTATCTCCTCCCCTCGTCTCTGCTTTGAGACTTCACCCCAACAGTCAATCTCTCCCACTCTTCTCTCTCTCTCACTTTCCTTCTGTCTCCATTGGCTTCTTCCCTCGTGACTCAGAACCTACTCAAATCTTTCCCAGGAACCCAGTCCAGGTGCAGCCTCGCCTGCAGAAGGCCGCCATGCTGGGTGTGGTGCCTGGGGAAGGTGAAAGGTCCAGGAGCAGGTTCAGAGGCCAGAACCCCCATGGACATGTGATGGAGGAGCCACCAATGAAAAGAAAGCAAAACAGTGCCTTCGGTCCAGAGAGAGGCTGGGATGGGCATGGCAGGGGCCAGGGGACTGGGTGGTGAAAATTAACTTTATACAAGAGATCGGATAAGGATAGAACTAATAGACCAAAGGACATAAATAAATGTTTGGCTTGTAATAACTACTTGTGTTTTGTAGTTTCAAATTCTCAATACATAAGAGTTTACTTTTACTTATCTGTAATGCCTTGGGCCTCGACTTGTGCCCAGATAAGAAACATTAAGGAGAATTCCCATCAGGCAGTCTCTCCCACAGTTAATGAACTTTAAAAAGAAGAAAAAGAGAAGCTACAAAGGGAATTCTTGTTTCAGGCTCTAGGCAAAACCTGCCATGTTGAGGTCAATTGGTTTCACCTCCTTTTGACCTGCCTTTTTGCACAGGAGGTAATTAGGCAGATTGGGTTTCAAGAAGTCTTACTCAAGAGCCAGCCCAGGTGGCTGCTTCTGCCTGTTGACGGCAGTTAACCTTAATGCTAATGAAGAATAATGTGCCGGTGAGGGTCTCAAATCAACAGCTACCAGCAGTTCAGATTAAGAAGGAGAAATGGGCCGGGACTGGTGGCTCACACCTGTAATCCCAGCACTTTGGGAGGCCAAGGCAGAAGGATCGCTTGAACGCAGGAGTTTTGAGACCAGCTTGAGCAACAGAATGAGACTCCGTCTCTACAAAACATTTAAAAATTAGCCAGGTGTGGCAGTGTGCATCTGTCCTCCCAGCTACTCTGGGGGCTAAGGCAAGGAGGATCACCTGAGCCCTGGAGGTCGCGGCTGCCGTGAGCTGTGACTGTGCCACTGCACTCCAGCCTGGTGACAGAGGGAGACCCTGTCTCAAAAAACATGAATGAAAATTGTAAAAGGAGTAAAACTTTTGCAACAGCACCCTCTCTATTGCAGGCAAACAGAACAGCGAGGTTCAGGGATTCCAGAAAAGGCAGGCATTTGACCAGACAGCGTGCCTGCCAGTGTCGAGGGGAATGATGTCGATTAGAATGGTCTGCTAGCGCACCACTTAAGTATGTCTATAGACTGGCTCTGTCCCAGCACCACCGTTACTTTACAAGCTTTAAGCCTCACGACAACCTGATGAGGTAGCTTTGAAATCACTTCAGTGAGGAAACTGAGACTCAATGAGATGAAGTCGTTCCTAAGATGATTCAGCTCCTAAGTGGCAAAGGTGGAATTCGATAGAAGATTCTGACTGGAAATCCCTCATTCTTTCCCACTGGGTCTAAAAAGCAGACACTAAAACAATGTTAGAACCAACAACTGTACCCCATTCCTTGCCTGCCCTCTAATTTCAGATGGAGGTACACTTTTCTTTTTCAAAAAGTTTCAACTGCCTGTAAGATACAATTCCAGCCCTTTCTCCTGGAGTTCAGGGCTCTGGGCTGGCACCTGCTTACCTCTCAGTCCTGCCTCCCACTGCTTCCCACTGTGGCCTCACTTTTTCATAACTCCCTCCACATACTCTGACCCCCAGTGTGTGGGTTTCTGGTGCTCTTTCACCTGAGTGTCCACATCTGGATGTTCCCTCTTCATGATAAGCCACCACTTCTGCCTTCAGAAACTCATAGCTTGAAGCCTGTCCCATTGCCAAGTCATCTGTGAAGCTGTCCCTGACCTTCCCAGACCCCTGCAGCTGCTCCCTTCCGTGGAACCCTGTGACATTCGGCCCAGACCTCTCATTTGACATTTGCCAGTTGCAAACTTGGGTTTTATATGAGGGTACCACATTCATAGACTACCTGGGCCATGGGTAGCGAGTGCCAGCCTTGGGTTTTGGGTCTGGGAAGCCCCAGAAGGACACCCAAGTTAGGAAATTCCAGACAGAAATCTGCCAAACATGACATCATAGGGCCGGGAAGGGTTTGGAGCCCAGGGGCCAGGCAGAGGATGAGAAATCAGGTCAGTAAATATTGGCAGGCTAAAGAGAAACAACACTGAGCAGTGGGATTACAAACTTAGATAAAAACTTAGATGTCAGCCGGGTGCGGTGGTTTATGCCTGTAATCCCAGCACTTGGGGAAGCCAAGGCGGGTGGATCACCTGAGGTCAGGAGTTCGAGACCAGCCTGGTCAACATGGTAAAAGCCTGTCTCTACTAAAAATGTAAAAATTTGCTGGGTGTGATGGTGCGCACCTGTAGTCCCAACTACTCGGGAGGCTGAGGCAGGAAAATCGCTTGAACTTGGGAGGCAGAGGTCGCAGTGTGCTGAGATCGTGCCACTGCACTCCAGCCTGGGCTCAAAACAAAAATAGAAAAACTTAGATGTCAAAACCTAGCTCAGGTGTAGTGTGATGGGCCAGAGACCTTTGGGATGGGGACCAGGAAGAACTTTAAAAATATGCTTGCAAGCGCTTCCTGGAAGACCACAGAATCAACTAGGGACATTCCTCCTACTGATGTTGATTTGTTAAAAGAGTATTTATGGAAATTAAACAGAGCCAAATAGGATTATAACTCAGAGCTTTCCATGGTCTTCAATATACACGTGGGAATTGTGAATCTCTAAGACAGGAATACAGAAGGCAAGTTTTATCCAGCTTATTTGAATTCCTTGGCCAGGGAATTCTTTCTCTTAAGAGCCTCTCCCGGGTGCCGGGCGTGGAGGCTCACGCCTGTAATCCCAGCACTTTGGGAGGCCGAGGCGGGCAGATCACGAGGTCAGGAGATCGAGACCATCCTTGCTAACACGGTGAAACCCCATCTCTACTAAAAATACAAAAAAAATTAGCCGGGCGTGGCGGCGGGCCCCTGTAGTCCCAGCTACTCTAGAGGCTGAGGCAGGAGAATGGCGTGAACCCGGGAGGCGGAGCTTACGGTGAGCGGAGATCGCGCCACTGCACTCCAGCCTGGGCGACAGGTGACAGAGCATGACTCTGTCTCAAAAAAAAAAAAAAAAAAGAGCCTCTCCCAGTTAGTGTTCTTTAGAACAGGGGTCCTCAACCCCCAGGCTGCAGACAGGTACCATTCTGTTACCTGTTAAGAACCAGGCCGCACAGGCCGGGCGTGGTGGCTCACACCTGTAATCCCAGCACTTTGGGAGGCCGAGACGGGCGGATCACGAGGTCAGGAGATCGAGACCATCCTGGCTAACACGGTGAAACCCCATCTCTACTAAAAATACAAAAAATTAGCCGGGCATGGGTGGTGGGCGCCTGTAGTCCCAGCTACTCGGGAGGCTGAGGCAGGAGAATGGCCTGAACCCGGGAGGTGGAGCTTGCAGTGAGCAGAGATGGCGCCACCGCACTCCAGCCTGGGCGACAGAGCGAGACTCCGTCTCAAAAAAAAAAAAAAAAAAAAAAAAAGAACGAGGCCGCACAGCAGGAGGTGAATGGCGGGCCAGCGAGCGCTACACCCTGAGCTCCACTTCATGTCAGATTAGTGGCGGCATTAGAGTCTCGCAGGAGAGCGCAAGCCCTGTTGTGAACTGCGGATGCGAGGGATCTAGACTGTGTGCTCCTTGTAAGAATCTAATGCCTGATGATCTGAGATGGAAGAGTTTCATCTTGAAACCACACCCCACTCGGTGGAAAAATTGTCTTCCACAAAACCAGTTCCTCCTGCCAAAAACGTTGGGGACCGCTGCTTTAGAACACTCTTAATAAATGCTATTTACATTTAGTCTGACCCATTTGTCATTGTGGCTAACAAAGTGGGAAGATTGGAAAATTTGAGAGAGAGGAGAGAGAGAGATCAGGCTTTATTTTACCAAATTTATTACTGTATTAAAAGCTAGAATTTTTGATAGTTTTGAACAAAAGCTGTTACGAATACCAGACTGGATTAGTAACAGCCAAGATAATCATAGGATTCTTTGAGATGTGCATCATAAAACTGGAATCCTACCAAATGATCTGAGGCATTTCTCAAGTTGATGTCTGATACTTTCCAGAATTAAAAATGCTGAATGGATATGTAAGAATAAACCAATTCTTAGTTATTTTCAGCCTGATCGTCCTCATTTTCTCTTATGAAAAAGCCCTGCTTTCATGACAGAACCTATTTCAAGGGCTTATTTTGTTAACTTTTGGGACAGTTCTTTAAAGAAACACACACACACACACATTATCTACATTATTCCTGTCTTAATTCTCCACCTACACCACATGTGAAGAAATCCTTTGACACTTGACCACCTCTGCCCCCTTCCAGAGATGGTAAAGACAAAGTTGCATACATTTCAGATAGAAATGCTTTAAAATAGAAAGTGACGCTTGTAAAGTGATACAAGTTTCAACATCAAACAAAAATTATTTTGGGGATATTTGCCAATTTATCTCTACCTCTTGTCTCTTCCATTGTGAAGGTGACATAAGGTTGAGCTAGTCTTTATTTATGGACATGATTTTAATCTAACTTTTGGTTCAATCTTTTCAAATAGTTTCCCCAATACAGTCTCTAACATCACACAAACAGATTCCTGATGTCATGAGTAGGGGTGTTTTGACCTAATCCTGATTCGGAGGTTAATCAGCACACTGTTCATTTTTCCCATCACAACCAACAAAACTACTCCGGATATACTTCAGACTCCAGTCTACAGCAGTCTCGAAAACACAGCTTCCCATATCAATAATCCCAAAAGTACTGTTTTCTTTCATCCTTTTTGAACTCAAAATGTCCAGCGGGCCTTCATATTTTGCTTTGATTTGGCAACTTTTCCTGTCCAGATAATTGGTGGTGTGCATTGAACTAGTTAAGGTGGAACAAGAGTCTGAGAAGCATGCTGCTTTATTTGTGACAGAAATAGTCTGCTTAGTTAAAGTAAAAGTTGAAAAATATTAATGAAGCATTGTGGCAGTTGTATCCTATCAGCATTCGAGTGACCTGGGTGTGTAACTCTTATGACTGAAGAGCTCCCTCACAAGGTATTCCTGATGGAAGCAAACGGGACTTAACCCCTCAATAAGATCTCAAGTGAACATTTGGGCCTTTGTACGTCCTGTCTCTTAAAAGTCATAAGCCAAAGCCTTGTGGCAGGAAAATGAGCTAGTCATGGGTTACCCAGGAAGTGACCAGTTTCCAAGGGGATCCCTTTGGGCCTCTAGGGATTACCTGAGTCCAGGCAATTAGGCTGCTATGGCCACCTCTGTTCTGCTCTTCACATGCACATCTGTTCAAACAGCTGTCCAGGTCCCATAAGAGACCTTTGTTTAACCAAGTAAATGGCTTTCTTCATTTATTAAAAGCATTTTACCTTTCCCTCAAATAAGAACAGATTGTGAGGACAAAATGACATTATAGATGTGAAAATGGTTTGAGAGTAAAAGTTGAATTCCAACATTATTACAATGATGACCCTATCAGTAATATAGGCTTTACATATATCCTCCAGGCACTTGTAAAAAATGAAAAACAGGCCAGGCACAGTGGCCCATGCCTGTAATCCCAGCACTTTGGGAGGCCGAGGCAGGTGGATCACCTGAGGTCAGGAGTTTGAGACCAGCCTGGCCAACACGGTGAAACCCCATCTCTACTAAAAACACAAAAATTGGCCAGGCATGGTGGTGGGCACCTGTAATCCCAGCTACTTGGGAGGCTGAGGCAGGAGAATCACTTGAACCTGGGAGGCAGAGGTTGCAGTGAGCCAAGATCGCGCCATTGCATTCCAGCCTGGGCAACAAGAGCGAAACTCTGTCTTAAAAAAAAAAAAGCCAGAAGTTATGTGAAAAGCTGAATTTAGATCAAGACACTGTGTGTGTATATATTCTTGCATGTGCATATATGAACACATATGTTTGTGTATGATGTTGGCCAAGACATGTAACCTGTATGCCTCAGTTTCTGGATCAGCAAAATTGGAATAATACCTCTGCCTTGTTGAATTGCAAAAAAGGGAAAAAAAACAGAAGTTAGAGTTTAGATTTGAAATTTTCTTCCCTTCTCATTCACCTTGCAAAAAATCCTCCAAGTTAAACAAGTTTCAAATGAATCTGGACGTAGACTAAGGCTCAGAACTACATGGACATGTTAAGTGTCAAACGCTTGGAGCCAAACTGGTCCTGGCCTAGGAAAGTCTGAGAATAACAGGTCTATACTGATGCTGTCCTGTTAAAAGTTTCAACTTGCATTTACGAGAAAGCAAAAAGAGTTGATGTGTTTTCAGGTTTACTGAAGAAGAAATTGGCATAGAGAGATTAAGTCTAATGTGAGGTCTCATGGGCACAAAGGGTCAGAACCTGGGAGAAGACCCAGGTCTCATATCATCCCCTCTCAGGTAACATGCACAGGGCTTTCAAAAGTCACGAGTCTCAAGAAATAGAAATGCTTTTACGCTATTGATGGGAATGTAAATTAGTTCCACCATTGTGGAAGACAGTGTGGTGATTCCTCAAGGATCTAGAACCAGAAATACCATTTGACCCAGCAATCCCAATACTGGGTATATATCCAAAGAAATATAAATCATTCTACTATAAAGACACATGCACATATGTTTACTGCAGCACTATTTACAATAGCAAAGACATGGAACCAACCCAAATGCCCATCAATGATAGACTGGATAAAGAAAATGTGGTACATATACACCATGGAATACTATGCAGCCATAAAAAGGAATGAGATCATGTCCTTTGCAGGGACATGATGAAGCTGGAAGCCATCACCCACAGCAAAGTAACACAGGAACAGAAACCCAAACACCACATGTTCTCACTCATAAGTGGGAGTTGAATAATGAGAACACATGGACACAGGGAGGGGAACGACATACACCAGGACCTGCTGGTGGGTGGGGGGCAAGGGAAGGGAATCTAGAGGATGAATAAATAGGTGCAGCAAACCACCATGGCACACGTATACCTATGTAACAAACATGCACGTTCTGCACATGTATCCCGGAACTTAAAGAAAAAAAAAAGTCATGAGTCTCTCAAAATTGTAGTTTCCTCAACCCTACATCTCCCACTCATCTCTGTACCTTCTCCTATTTTCCACATCAAAGATAGCACAAGCATCTTCTTTTAACACATTTTGGAGTCACCCACCAACACCAATTCCCACGAAAAGTAAGCCAAGTGTAGTTTTATGAAAATCTGTTTGGTCCTCTTTTTTTTTTCTTTTTTGGCAACAGAGTCTCACTCTGTTGCCCAGGCTGGAGTGCAGTGGTACCATCTCGGCTTACTGCAACTTCCATCTCCCGGGTTCAAGCGATTCTCCTTCCTCAGCCTCCCAAGTAGCTGGGATTACATGTGCCCGCCAACATGCCCGGCTAATTTTTTTGTATTTTTAATAGAGAGGGTGTCTCACCATGTTGGCCAAGCTGGTCTCGACCTCCTGACCTCAAGTGATCCGCCTGCCTCGGTCTCCCAAAGTGCTGAGATTACAGGCATGTGCCATCTGGTGTCTGAAGTTCAGTCCTGATTGAAGACCCTGAGTGCAGGGGCACGTGTGTCCCCATGGCTGCTGTAGGCCACACTATGGGAAAACAAAACTCGCGCTTTTACAACCAGAACTCTGGAGCTGAAAAGACCAACCCTCCCTCTCTGAGTTTGAACTAAATAGTTTGTCTCTGTAGCATAGTAAACAAAGCAGAGCAGCTCATTAGCAACAGGATCTGCAGTGGTTGGTGACTATGTGCACAGCTGATGGGCAAGTCCCGGCCATCTTTCAGGATTCATTTATGCTGGCCGCCTTGGCTTCCTCATCTTGTACATATTTGGTTTAGAGAATGCGAGGAATTTGCTAGCTGAGCAAGTTTATTCATCCTGCTTTCTAACTAGGCTCTTTCCCACTGAGGTATGTTTCTAAAATTTCCCTCAGCAGGCTTTGTTGCAAAAGCAGTGCGGGGTTCAACGGGACAGTTTAAATCTAAAACAAATCCTCCCTAAAAATGCACTGTTCTCTGTCAGGACAGAATCTGGCTCTGTCTTTGAAACAGAAGTGCCTGAACTTATTACCAAAACTTCTAGCAAAGGCTGGAAGGACATCATCCCTCTATGTGCAGACAATACATTGAAAGAGGGCAATGGGACAAAGGTTATTTTCTAAGCACTCACTGCGTGCAACATGAGATGTCATTCCATTTTACTAATGTGAGAACTGACTGTTGCAGAAGTTAAATGACTTGGACAAGTTCAATTACTAAGTGGTAGAGCAGGAATTTAAAACCGAGTCTCATGACACAAGGCAGATTGCACTATGTGTGCGTAACCCCAAGTTGACCAACTGTATAACTAAATGTCACTAAGAAAGCGTAGACTACTAAATTAGATACTAAGATATCAAGGCTTGCATCTGTAATCCTAGCTATTTGAGAGGCTGAGGCAGGAGGATTGCTTGAGGCTAGGAGTCGGAGACCAGCCTGGGCACCAAACACAGTGTGACTCTCTCTAAATAATAAATAAAATACACTAGGTAAAATAAATAAATTAGATAAAACCATTATGCATTGAGTTGGAATTTAAGAAAAATATATAAATCAAAGTCTAGATTAATGACTTACAAAAATCATAAACTAAAGTGATTTTCTAATTTGCAAACAATCCTGATAGGTTGTTTCTAATTTGCAAACAACCTATCTTAATAATTCTTTGGAAAGTTACATTGGCTAGTGATGACATGAAGAAACCTTAATTTTTCTCATATTTAATTTTCTGGTGTGCATTTCTTTTGGAAAAAAAACATTAAATGTATCATATGGAAATGAATCCAAAAGTAACAATCAGTTAATTTCAGTTCATAGGTAATGTCCAAGGCAAAAGCAAGGAGAAAAATAAAATAGAACCACTGCACCATCTAGTGACGGAACTCTTGCTTTACAAGAAAACCACCTGATGCAATTACATTTTGCCAATCAGTCCCCAGAACTTTCTGAGCCTGAAAAATATTCATAAAATTGTCCAAAAGAAGAATGCCTAGTGACAATGAATCATAGAAAATTAAGAGCAGACAGGATAGATTCCTAAGTTTCCATTTGGAAGCTAGAGGCAAACCCAATTTTTAGTCCTCAAAGAGTGGGTGCCATGGATCCTGTTTACTTTCCCCTCTGCACCCAGAAGCTTGATGTAGTATTTTATGAGCTAATAAGGGTTTGAAGCCAGGCATGGTGGCACACACCTGTAATCCCGGCTACTCAAGGGGCTAAGGAGAAGGACTGCTTAGGCCCAGGAGTTCGAGACCAACCTGGGCAACACAGTGAGCGATCCACTCTCAAAAACAAAATAATAAAGGTTCAACTGCAAAACACAGATGGTGTAAGGATGTATTCAGTAAATCTGAAATGTTTCTCCACAAGCCTGACTAGGACTCATTCATAATGGTAAACACAAGGCTCAGTTTAAGACTAAAGCGTCTTTCTTCTAATTACCTTTCCCTGTAGTTTTGTCCAATGTAGGTGGTGATAAATCTGAAATTTACTAGCCAGGCATGGTGGTGCACATCTGTATTCCTAGCTACTGGGGAGGCTGAAGAGGGAGGATCACTTGAACCCAGGAGGTCAAGGCTGCAGTGAGCTAATTACACCACTGCACTCCAGGCTGGGCAACAGAGTCAGATCTCATCAATCACTCATTAAATCTGAAATAAGTAAATCCGAAATTTAATGTCTTATTTGAATGCTCTGCAAATAACAAAATGCCCAAAGAAAACTGACTTATTTTTTTAAATTACAAAAATATTACTTCAAGGGCCAAAAAAGATACTAGAACTAAAATAGAAAACTTTTTTGGGATCTCAAGATTTATATTTTGTCCAAGATGTTAACATTCATGGCCAGGGAGAAAATGTATTGAATAATTTTATGATTAGTGTGAATGAATAAAAAAAATTACCAAGGAAGAAGAAAATATATTTCCACGGAGTAATTACGTGGAATGAGTAGGTCAGTGTATGTGAAAAAACGTTTACTTCCATTATGCTTGCGCAATGTTTAAAGTGAAGCTAGTTTTCATTCCAGCAAGATTTGAAACATTTATAGTGACTGGCTCTGTCAGCTCCAATCTCTTCACAGGCAAGATAGCAGTTGAATCTAGTTGGGTACTTAGCACTTCCCTGAGAAATCCCAAACATTCAAAATATGCATAAATTTGACAATTCAAATCCTCGGTTGATAATTTTTCAAGACCACATAATTTCATCTGGTTTTTTACAGTAATGAGATATTATCTCATTACAGGTAAGAGTTCCCAAAATACTCTGTAGACACCAACACAACATAGTTATGTTGGGGGAAGCAGGTAATCGAGCAAGAAAACCCCAGCCCGGCAATTATTAGCTCTGTGGCCTTGAGCAGATTCCTACCTTCTCTTAACTTCAAATGCTTCATCTATAAAACGGCGATAAAACATATCACTTGAAGGGTTACCTTAAGTGTTAAAGAATACATAGGAAGTGTCTTTAACAGATAAGAAGCACTCAACAAATGGTAGCTCCTTATTAATAAAATTGATAGCATGTTTCTTTAAACGGTAACTCAGAAGTAGATGCTATGTGGCCCAGGATTGATCCTAGGCAAGTCTATTAACCAGACTTTATGCCTCACACCTTTTTTTTTTTTTTTTTTTCTGAGACAGAGTCTCACTCTGTCGCCCAGGCTGGAGTGCAGTGGCACGTTTTTGGCTCACTGAAACCTCCGCCTCCCGTGATTTCCCAGGCTCAGCCTCCCAAGTAGCTGGGACTACAGCCACACACCACAGCGTCCAGCTAATTTTTTTGTATTTTAGTAGAGACGGGTTTCACCACGTTGGCCAAGCTGGTCGCCTCTCAGCTTTTAAGCACTAACTCCTAAATCTGTAGGTAAAACAGGGCCAGAAAAATTGACAAAAAGGCAAGAGAAGACATTTGAGTCCATAGTGAATGAATTGAAAAGATTTATCACCAAGAGTCAAACACCCCATAAAGCTTTCAAAGACAGGTTTATTTATATATAAGTGCATGAAATTGAATACAGAAACTTTATTAAAATACTGTATATTACAAATTTTTAATCCAATAAATTCTGTGTAATGACATTTAAGTGCTGGATTCACTTTTTAACAGTTGTCTTGTGTGTATCAGTAAAGAGTTCACCCTGTATATTACAAAGAGGAGAGCCACATGTGGACCTCAGAAATGGTCCTGTGATTAGACACTGAATGATAGTAATTGTGCATCTTTTCCTTAAAGCAATGAATTGGAACCTAGATCTTATCTTTGTAGACCTACTTTCTATAATTAAAAATAACTTGCATATGTTTATTGCTGCCCTTTGAAGAAAATGAGAATGGTGAAAAATAATTTAAAATAAAGATCAACATCTCTAGGCTAAACTGATGCTTACTGCAATTAAAATTACTTAAAATTCACTGCAAAATTTGTGTTCTCCAGGAAATTATGCTATATACATAATGAGATTTGTACATGAATTGGGAAATAAAAAATTGCTTATATAAAATTAAAAATCAATAATATACAATATTTACAGCTTGTTAGGTATTATATATAAACATAGTTTTTAAAATAATCCTTCAAAATTAAACTGTTTTATGTAAACATGCAGTACACATACTCATATAGTTTATAGTCTTAACAGAAGGGGAAATTGTGTTCACATAACACAGGGTACTTCATCAAATATGCCTTTGTTTTTGTGTATTACCCCTCCAACATTTATTCTCCTGTCTTTAAGCTTCACAGTACATTTAGTATTTCTATAGTAAAAATAAATCCCTGATGGTAAACATATTTCTAAAGGTTAAAGTGTGTGCCCTGTACTACAGTATAAAACTAACACTGTTCACTAGAATCTCTAGTTTACAACAAAACTAAATTTTAAAGTCTCACACTTAATTTTCTTAACTACATTTTTTTCCATTTCATACTTGGAAAAAGAAAAAATAGAGAAAAATACCACATCATGAAAATATAGTGAAAGTAGCTGTCATCTGTCACAGTCAATGACTAAGTAACTGATTTACATTGAACCATATGAAGTTAGTAGCTACTATTCGTTAGGCTTTCTAAACTTTGAATTCCCAGTCACTGGTGATGTGTATCTAGCCAACTCACTGGTGCCAATCCTGAATCTTGCTAAATCCATTTTGCACAAGTATCTTAACTTTCAAGGCACTAAGGCTTCATTTAGCTTTTAAAATCTGCCTGTGATTTACCAAAAGATTCATCAGTGGTCTGAGAGTTAACACAATTTGAAAGTGAGACTTTTAATACTTGTCAGGTAAACTATATTTTTGCTATTTAAATAAAGACATTTTAGCTAGTTAACTTTCAAGATAAAGTTGATTCCCTCATCTCAGAATAACTAGAGTCAGGGGCTAATATTTTTGGTAGAATCCTATGAATTTTGGATGGCTAAAACAAAAAATACCGTGAATTTCCTATTTGTTCATCTAAATGCGTGCAGCTCAAGTCTGAATGTGTGTATTGGTGAGAGGGCCAAATCTTTCAAAAAAATTCTTCCATTGTAAATGCATCCAACATCAAAAACATTAAGAAAGTGTCAACAGTTAAACTATCAACTCATCTGCTATTAAAAGCAAGTCATTTTTATGATCATTTACTCAACAAGTGCCACTATGTTGCTTTCTATGGAGAAAACTTTAAAATGTTCCATTCCAAAAATACTTAACAATGATGTGTAAATACTTTAAAAACAAGAGAAGCGTCATCATCAGTAGTACTCTCGAGTTAACGTTCCTTTAAACAAGGCTCTAAAAAAAGTGATTTCTGCTTAATTCAGCAAGACAGAATAAAATTTTTAAAGTGGTGATTTTTAGGAACTACCAATTTATAAGAGAAAAAGTGTTACAGTTATGGGACTCAGACGATTGATTATGCACCGCAATTCCTCTTTCTGTGTATTTGTGTCAAACTGCTTTTCCGTTTCAGTTATCCACCTAAATACATTCCCAAAAAGGGTGGAGTCATGTTACTACCAAGAGTAGATACATGTGGGTGCAGTACATAATCGTAAAAATGTATGTATGAGGTTCATGCTCTCCTGACTTGCCTAAAGTATTTACTTTTCAGTAAGATTAGAGCTGCATAACTGTAGGGGTTAAGAGTATTCTTTCCTAAACCAGCTCCTTGGATTCTATCAACAAATTGTACATATGTTTAAACTATAACATACGACATCTGTATGGAAAGAGGAGGAAGATTTTTAGGAAATTGCTAAATTCGTTCTCAAAATCAGGGAAGAGTTATTATGTAAGTTCAGTATATGTGCAATAAATGTAAAGAATGTGAAAACAACTTCCCTAAACTCAGGGGAAGAGATGATTATAGTTCATAGCTCAGTTCACTCAGAAATGTGTTTCCACTAATTTAAAAGTATTATCTGATATATCTCCACATTTACTGAAAATACTTCAGATATTAAGCATTATTTCCCCCAAATTCATGGATACATTTTTAGATAATTCAGCAACCTCCCTAACAACACTGTACTGCCTACA
Source organism: Homo sapiens (assembly GCF_000001405.40). Lineage (NCBI taxonomy): Eukaryota > Metazoa > Chordata > Mammalia > Primates > Hominidae > Homo > Homo sapiens. The sequence goes on along the minus strand of NC_000006.12, from coordinate 11,580,967 downwards.
CAGACCAGAGCTCCTTAAGTGAGAAGAGCAAACCTGTCACCACACACACACACAAAATGCAATACAATTTCAAAATGCACGGTGGTCAGTGAAGCCTCACATATAAAGAAACACAGCATGTGTAAACATGCAGTATACATACTCATCCAGTATAGTTTCTAGTCCTAACAAAACACAGGATGTAGGGCGCTTTGTCAAATATGTTTTTGTTTTTGTGTGTTACCTCTCCAAATGCTATAATTTTTAATCAAATAATATCCTTTTTATCCTGAAGAGTCTTCTTCCAAGATGTTATAACAAGGACGGGAAGTTAAGAAAGATTATAAAACCATTTGATTATTGGTCCGTTTTAACAATTCAGAGTTTCACCCGATTATTAAAAGAAATAGTAATTTACCCAGTTACCCAAAAAGTGTTACCAAATTTCTCTGCAATCGAAATCTGCTAGAATTTCTTCAGTAATTTTCCTCGTCCCTCACATCTTAAAAACAAATAATGACTGCAGAGATTCTGATTGAGACTGAGAGAAAAATCTGTAGTGTCAAGAGTGAAGTGGTTTGAGAATATTTCAGAAATTGCTCCAGGCATCGTTACTCCCTGAATTACATAATGAACATAAATTTAAAATAATAGTATTTGAAGTTAAAAAAAAATAGGCTGGGCACGGCAGCTTACACCTGTAATCCCAGCACTTTGGGAGGCCAAGGTGGGTGGATCCCTTGAGGTCGGGAGTTTGAGACCAGCCTGACCAACATAGAGAAATCTGTCTCTACTAAAAATACAAAACTGGCCAGGCATGGTGGTGCACGCCTGTAATCCCAGCTACTCGGGAGGCTGAGGAAGGAGAATCGCTTGAACCTGGGAGGCAGAGGTTGCGGTGAGCTGAGATCATGCCATTGCACTGCAGCCTGGGCAACAAGAGCGAAACTCCGTCTCAAAAAATAAATAAATAAAAGAAACAAAATAACAGCTAGGGCTTAAGCACCCTTGGCCTGTGGAAGAAAGAACTTGGTAGACACTGAATATCGTTCTATTTTTCTACAGAATTGGCACTACACTGTAGAGCCAAGGGCCCAGGGCCGGCAGAAGAAACAGACATATAGAAGACTGAAGGGTTATATATCGCTCTTACTTTTCAAGAAGAATAATTAGCAAATAGCAGAAAGTCAATAAATCAACATGGCTGAATGAATCCAAGGGAAGTAAGTGGGAATAGATAAGGGAGTCAAGGCTGACTACCTCTCTACCCTTTTCCTATTTTAACCAGTGGTCAACAGAACTCCTAATTTAATCCTGCTTGCACTGGCCATTTCCACCACCACCAATTCACAAAAGGTTCTTAAAGATCTGCTGATTTTAAAAAGAAAAAGTGAAAAGGAGATGAAGCAAGATTATAAGAAAACGTTTTTAGTTTCTTTCCTAAAGCATATGTAAGGAAAATATAGAAATGAAACAAAATTGATGAATTTTACAAAACAACATATTCAATTGGTAATGCAATTGCAAAATGTAATTTAAAAAAATTCTAGAGACTATCAGTTGATCATTTACTGTGAAATACATACTGCTTTGCCATTCATAAACAATCTCACGTAATCCTCACAATAACTACATGAGGTATTAGTCACATTTTACGGAGTATGAACTGAGGCTCAGAGAAGTTAAGTGATTTGCTCAAGGTCAAAAAGTTGACAAGTGACAGAGTCTTAATTCAATCTGTGTTGCTGGCTTGGAGTCTCGTATTCTCTTCACTATGTCACAGCCATGATATCTCAGTTATGGAAATTCTATTTAGTGGATGAACCAGGAAAATGAGAATTTGGAGGGATAACAGGCTAACTCTCAACTAAAATCAGGAAGCAAAATGTTGTCCCAAACTTTTTAGGATTTAAAAATCATCTTGCTAGCTCTTGGTGTACTCAAGGTAAAGAATTCCATCTTGGTAATTCTTGTACTTCTTACTAGAGAAAATACTTGGTAGAGCACTTTACATAGTGGATCCACACGAAGTGTTTACAAAATAGAATTATTTGCTGTATGAGTGGCAGCCTAGGTACATCAATGTGGCAGCCACATTTTCTTCATTAGAGGTTCTTTAAAGACCTTTCCCACAACATTCTGTGATTTCAAATTATCCCGTTGCTCATATCACAAATACAAGATATACAGGCCAACTCATTTCTTTATTTCTCTCATTTAAAGTACAAACAAAACCCTTATACTTTTTTGAGCAGTGAAATGTATGCTGCAAATACTAAGAAAGTATATTGGGTAACAAACTGTAACACTGTTTGGTAAACATTAAGATCTAAAGAATAATTCTGCTCCAGGCCCTGAAGATAGCCATCATTTAGGACTTCACTTATCCTAGGCAAGGTAGGCTATTACCTTGGAACTGTCCCATGGTTCGGAAGACTGCTGGTTCTCCTTCTTTTAAAGTTTTAAGCATTATTTGCAGTTTATTTGAGGCCTCCTGACTAGCTGTGATCTATGGCATTTTTAATCAGTATGTTCAACTGTAATTAGTTTGGGCATGTAGGAGTTCCTTCTTTGGGGAGCTGATTTCACTATAAACAATATTTTATTAAACATTTTTTAAATAAAGGAGTGTCCACTATAGAGGATCCTCCCTCCCTTCTTGCATTTGTCACGAAGAAAATGTACTGCTAAATCACATACGAATTTTAACAAAGTATATAACCCAAATACATCAATAAGGACTTTTGTCATGTCCCAAACAAGGGTCTCCAGCTCTATTAAGTGAAGAAAATTTTCCCAAAATTCAAAATTTTCAAACATCCTCAAACCTATTTAAAAGATCATTACACTGAACAAATTTTCCACTAGAACATGAAAGTGTTCACTGAAAAAAAGCTTTCCAAGTAGACTGTATTCATATATAGCAGCTCTCTATATACCTATATAATGATATATACGTGTGTGTATATATATCATTAAACATTTCTTGTGTCTATAGGAAAGCTACTAACTTTTTAAAAATTTCAGCATATAAATAGCTATTAAGACAATTCACAAACTCAAACTATTCAACTGCATCTCAAAACATCAAAAGAGAGACAGTTGCACAAAATCTCAATGGAAATAACTGAAAACAGCAAAGAAACCAAAAATAACCCCTAAAATTAAAAGTATACACATACACACACAATTGATAATGTAAAGCAACTTGATAATAACTGCAGGACACTCTACAAACTAATTATTAACCGTTCAATTATACTTTCATTCTAGAGTAAAAACAATAGTTTAAATCTCTTTGGTCCACACATTAGTACATTTAATGTATCCAAGTTATTTTCTTGTTAATTTTGGATTATGAATCATGCTCCATATTACTTTACCATAACTTTCTTAAATCATAAAATAAACATATGTTAAAATAAGTATTCATTCTGGAGATCTGAAACAATTTCCACATGCTATTGGTAATTCCTCTGGAAGAATACGAATGCTTTAAATTATTGACAGAATAGCCAAAGTAAAAGAAGAACACAATTCAAGTCTGGCAGAAAAGAAAAAATCAGATTGACTTGGAAAAGTTATGCCTAAATTTAATTTGTAAAAACATCAGGAATATAAAGAACACATGAAAACAATTTCAGGCCTGTACATAATAAAAATAATCAATTTTAAGATTTACTTCAAAGATCCATGCATAGTTGCTTATTATTTTTTTAAAACAAATTTCCAAGCCAGTGTTAGTAAATCTCCCAAATTGGCTTCCATACTGAGAAAAGTACTGCCTCTCCAACTTCTCATTGGTAAGTTGTGGATATACTCTGCTTCTGGATAGAGAAAAAGTGGTATGGGTAACAAAGTTCTTAAATTTGAATGTAATATAACAAAGGCCTACTTTTATAGCAAATTGGATTAAACAGCAAGGCTACCAGGTTATTTTTGGATTATCCTTAACTTCATATTCTCTGCAATGTCTCCTTTGAGTTAGCACATTATAATTGTATCTGGTGCCAAAAAAAATCTCATTAGGAGACCAGTTCAACCCTACTTCCTATACTCTTACAATTACGTATTGCCAGAACCTCTTAAAATGTTTTATATAAAGGACATTTCCACTTTTGCTATATGCCCTCACAGATTCTTCTACTAAACTTAAATCATAACTTCATATCATAAATCAAGAACTGAACAACTGAATTACTCTAATACACGCTCAGTACTGCATTGATATGCTGAGACTAATTGCCAAATTTTAAAATTATCTACTATATTCCCCAATTTTTACTTAGCAAAATTATGATGTTGCCACATGTCCAAAGTAAAATAGTTCATTACTCTTCCTATATAACTTACTTGTTACTTATTTCTACAAATGAGGTCTTTATTTCCAGAGCCTAATTTAGGCCAGTCTCTAAAAACAGTTAATACTCCAGAATGAAAGACTGTTTATGTTTTGTCAAAAATCAAGATATATGCAACACGTAATACAATCCCACTGAGATACTAGTTATAAAGATGTTTTGTCCATGAGATACAAGGCAAAAACTTTCTTTAGAAGGGTCAAAGAATGCAACATGCATTTCAGACTTTTTTCTTACAAAAATTTTTAAGAAAATCTTCAAATTACATTTTTATGACGCACAAACTACAATCAATGTGTATGACCCTTCAAGTTTCTGAATTTGTATAAACAGAATATGGATGCATGAGAGAAGCTATTAAAAGGGTGTTACTTAAGTTGGTGAAAAGTATGCACCCTATAGAGCTACTCTGAGTTCTTAAAACAGTTGAGCTAGTCTTCAGTTAAGAAGACTTATCTTCCACATCAATTAAATAACAATAATACCTAAACATATTGAAGCCCTAAATCCCAGAAACGCGCAACATTAAAAACCAAATAATTTCTCTCATATTAAACAATTCAGTATTTAGCACTCATACGGGATTTAGTGTTACCGAACAAAAATCTTAGTACATTACCTGAATTCATGTCAAATATGTTCACAGCACTCAGCTACATCTACACTTGCAAATTGTCACATGATCAATGTTAACAAAAAGAAAAGAGTTTGGCACATATATCAATACCTCAAAACGTCCCTGTAACTTAACATAACACTGTTAGGAACGATGATTTCAACACCAATGTTAACCTGATAGGCAGCTAAACAAGGTGCTTTTTCTTGTAACTTTACATAGTGTCTTAATGCACCTTGCCTGAGACAGAGGCACATAAGGTGCAGTGCGGTAGTGCAATCACTTGAACACCAGAGGGCAATCCTTCCACACAGCTCAAGGTCTTCCTTATGCTTTGACCTGCTCAGTCCACATTCTTGCACAATTTCATTTCCACTTGTTAACAATGCCGTTTTCAGGGAATCTGTACATCTGTTTCCTTATGTGAAGTAAGACATTCCCACAGAAACCTCAAAGTGTAGCGAGGATCCTTGAAAAGGAGATGATTAATGTCAGTACAGTCTGTCCAACGCCCCATACCAGCGCTTCCAAAGGGGCCATGTTCTTCCCAGCTACTCTGTAAATGCCCGCTACTGCTGCACCTAAGGAGAAACGGGAGAAAAATGAAGGGATACAGTCACTCGTTTTATAACACACTGCATGCTGCACCTTAAGAGCTCTTTTCATTTCATCAAAACATAAGTCATCATTTTTTTCTCATTTTATCCACTTTCTATGAAAAAGTTTCCCTGTGATTGGTGAAAGTTACAACTTACCATAATACACTTAGCCACTTATTTGAAAAACAGACTTTTCTATTCAACCAAAAGATATATATTTATGGTATATGCTGCATACTTGATAGCAAATATGTTCATAAA